>NC_000012.12:47005582-47157097 GCF_000001405.40 Homo sapiens
TCTCACAATAATCTAGATAATGAATACATGGGAGTAGTAAATGAAAGTTCACTTTCTACTAAAATTTCAGAAAGAAAATAAGTAAGTCTGTTCTCTAGAAAGGAAAAAGTTTTCTCATTTATGTAAAATGAATGAGATTAGTCATCATGGAGGTAAATCTAGAGATTGTAAATCTTTACCTGGAGAACTTTGACAACAGTCAAAACTCTAATCAAAAGAATGGTGTGATTTCTAGGAGGCAGGATTACAACGTAAGGGAAAATCTAGCCAATTTTACTTACCCTGTCTGAACCAAATTGGGTGGCCAATGTGAAGCATAGAAAAGAGAAACCCAAGATTCATAAAATGGTAATATTTGTCAAACTACAGCCTATGAGGAATTTGGATGAATGAAGATAGATTATTAAGATGTGTGTGTTCAGTTAGGATAGGAGTAACTCACAGAGCCTCACCTCCTAATAAATATCCTTCCAATTTTTCCATAGGCTTTTTCATTCATCATAGTAGTCACAAAGTGACTCTGTAATTACTAATTCAGTTTCTCAGCTACTTCAGTATTAATAGAAGGTATTTCAGATACAAACACAATCTGGTCATTAAAAATAAAAATCTCTTACACCTCTAAACCTAGCATGTTGGGAAGCCAAGGCAGGACAATTGCTTGAAGCCAGGAGTTTGAGACAAACCTGGGCAACGTAGTGAGATCATGTCTTTGCAAAAACAAATATAAAACTTAGCTGAGCATGGTAGCATGCACCTATAGTCCTAGGTACTCCAAAGGTTTCAGTAGGAAGATCACTTGAGTCCAGGAGTTTGATGGTGCAGTAAGTTATGATTTCACCAATGTACTCCAGTCTGAGTGACACAACCAGACTTATCTCTAAAAATAAATAAATAAATAAATAAATATCTTACTTTCAATAAATATAAATCCTCTACTGGTATTATGTGGATAACAACACATACTTTCAATAGGTTGTGATGAAGATCAAAATAGAGAACATATTTAATACATCTGACATATGCCTGACCCATAATAAATATTTGGTAATTCTCCTACCTTTTTGCCTCTCTTTGCTTTTATTCAAATTACAACAAATAAAAGATACAGAGTAATATTATCCAGCTGATATGGAGAACCTGCTCTCTAACACTGACTACCTCTGTCCTTGGGCAAGTCATTGATCTCTGGCCATTGGATTCCTAAGATAAAGCAAGGATTTGGACTAGATGATATCTGATTTCTTTTCTATCTCTAATATTAAAAGAGACTGAGTATTTAAGATTGGTCCTTGGGGTGTCATTTTGATTCCATTAAGCCTGAGATTCAATTATTCTGCTCAATTGATCTTTCTTAATAATAAACAAAATCAAACAACTTAGACAACATTCAGGTTAACAAGGCAGCAAATTAGCAACACATAACAGACCTTCTCTTAACTTCCCATTAAAACACCTACGAGGATATACAAAAAGATAAAAACTGGCACCAGTATTGTAAACTGAAAATAAGAGAAGAAGATATGTCAAAGTTCAGAGGGACTTTCCACTAATCGCATCATTAATGGATAGGGATTGAGAAATATAATCTTGGATGGCACAAACACTACCCTTTGAACCAGAACAGCAACAACCCCAAAGCAAGAGGAAGACCTTGGCTCTCCCCCACTGGCCGAGGTCAACTTCAGGACAAGGGGTTGCCCTGACCGGAAAAATAGGTGCCATCCCCCACTGAAATAGAGTTATCATCTGAGCAAGCCAACATCATAACCTCTCTTTTTTCCCCATCAGCAGTTCTATTTCTGTATCCATTTAGAGTCTACAATTCCCAGTGAGGTACTAATCTTGAAGTAGAATAACAGTTGGTTAACAGTGTAGTGAGTACTAAGTAGGGGTTGGGACAAGGTGAATACTGAAAACTGAGTGTGGTGAGCGTTAGGAAGCAGGGAGGAAGAGTGTTATCTTTCATGTACTGATATTTCATACGAATTGCATTTTAATCATTGTCAAAAATTGCAACTCTTTCAGCAGATGTATGCTGTGCCCATACTGTATCATATACAGGACCTTTAACCCTCCTTGGCTAGAGCTAGGAAGGAAAAATTGTCAGTCCCTGAGTGGGCAATGAGAGAGTCAAAGACCACATCACTCACCCTGTCTATTGGTAACCCAATACTGGATCTTTGAAATTATTCTGCAACATTTAGGGAATGAGATATTTATACTGAAGGCTCAAGGGAGAGCTTATTTTTTAAAATTATCACTATGAAGACAAATAGAGCAATGCTTTATTTATGAAACAATTTCTTCAAAGTTTTTACTAGCTAAATATTCTCAGGCTCTTTTAGTGTTTGGTGGCCATTTCCCGGTTGATTCCACTCACATGGGATGTTTTGATCATAGCTTTTCACAAAAATTTGCCAAGATACCGTATTAACTAGTGTAACTATATCACCCTTAATGGTTCTGTCAACTGGCATATAGCAGATATAATTCGTCAACTTTGCAGCAGAATGCATTCTTAATTTGAAAGTAAAAACCAAATGGAAATCCTTGTTGTGTTCAATAATGCATTAGACACAGTATAGACTGTTACCAGAAGGATTTGGTTCTGCTTTCTCTTCAATAAGTCATGTTAAAAGAATGACTGCAATATTCCAAACTGTTATATTATTGCAATCAAACTGATGCTGGAGAGGTTTCGAATCTGGATATTTCCTTATAAAATAACAACCTGAATAAATGAAAAGCAATTCATAACTTTCCCATTTTTCACTTTACCATTAGGATAGCAGATAGCCATATTTTAGGTCCTTTATTTTTCCTCCTAAACTGATGTATATAATTTAACATAAATAATATTTTAGAAATATGTTAATAATTAAGAAATTTCTCCCTTTTCATATTTTTAGTGGTTTCCCTACAGGAATTTAGAGGCGGCAGAGGGGGAAGGAGTGGTGGTGGTCATAGCTAACACTTGTAGTGACACTTACCATGTGTCACATATTATGCTCAGCATTTTACTTACATTCTCTTGCACAATCTTGATGATCATTCTAGGAAATAGATATGTAATTACCTTTATTCTACAAATAGGGGGTGAAAATATCAGGCATCTGGAAAGCGTTGTTTCAGAAAGAAAATCTGCAAGAGTGGAAAGGTATTGGCTCATAGAATGTTGTAAGAAATTAAATTTTATGTATAACCAAGAGAGTTTCTACCTTAATTAAATTTAACAAGTATTTATTGTATGCCCACAAGGCAATTTTCTAGGCAATTAGGGACAAAACAATGAACAAAACATATAACACCATCATGTGACTTACTTTCTTCAGTCTATAAATGAACAAATGAACAGGTGATGGTTTCCATGAAAAAAAAACATGATAAAAGATTTGACAGTGATGGTAAATGATCAAGGATACAGAGGGTGTGAAAACAATGCCTAAGGATGATCTCTCTGAGGAGAGATCTGCTTTTAGGTAGAGAACTCAGTGAAGAACAGAAGTGAGATGTGAAAAACTGGGGAAAAGAGTTCCAGACAGAATAAACAGCAGTTGCAAAGATCCTTGGATGAAAACAAAGTTGGTAAGTTCAAGAAAGAGAAAGAGGGCAATGAGGCTGGATTAAAATCAGCAAGGGGAAGAGTGAAGAAAGTGTAGAGATGTAGTCATCTTTGTAAGCCATCGCTTTGTAAGGGCTTTGAGTTGTGGTAAATGCTTTGGGTTTCATTAAAAAATAAAGAAGGTGGGAAGCTTGAGAGGTGTTCCAAATCTTTGTTCAGCTCTCTTCCTGGACACCTAGCCAGGCCACACTTCACAGCATACGTTGCAGCTCAGTGTGGTCATATGACTGAGAGCCAGCCTGTGGAGTGTGAGTGGAAGTGAGGTGCACTACTTCCAGGATTGAACAATAAAAATTATCCACCCACGCATCTCTGTGTCATTCCTCCTTTCTTGCCTTCAGGGATAGAACGGTGGATGACAGCCTTCAAATCCATATGTTGAAGATGGCAGAGCCACCATCACCTGGAAACCTAATGACCACATTGAGAAAAGCCTGGCCAACAACCAGTTCACTCACCAAAAACTCTTACGTGAGAGAGAATTAACTTCCATTTTGTCGAGGCATAACACACGTGGGTCTATGTATTATCACAACCTAGTCTACCATAACTTCCCCAGTAT
Source organism: Homo sapiens (assembly GCF_000001405.40). Taxonomy (NCBI): domain Eukaryota; kingdom Metazoa; phylum Chordata; class Mammalia; order Primates; family Hominidae; genus Homo; species Homo sapiens. The sequence goes on from NC_000012.12 coordinate 47,009,770, forward strand.
CCATTCTGCCCTTTTGCTATTGCAATAGAACCCTTAATTTTCAGCTTAGCACTTGAGTACACGGAATAAAGATTGTATTTCTAAGCGTCCCTTGCAGTTAAGTGTGGTAGCACAACTAATTTTGGGCTAAAATGGTATGAAGTGGAAGTGATATACATATATATATATTCCCAAAGGGGCATAGCCTCCTCTTTTCCACTTCCCACTGGCCTGAAAGCAGATGTGGTGATGTCGAGTCACCTTGAACCATATGGACAAGTTTTATACTCTATGCATAACAGAAAAATAAGATGAAGTAGCTTGGGTCCCTGAACTGTGGAGGCATCATTAACCTCACGATCTTATTAAGCCTGCAGCTATTTGGAGTACAAAAATTAATTCAAGATGGATTAAAGACTGAAATGTTAGACGTAAAACCATAAAAACCCTAGAAGAAAACCTAGGCAATACCATTCAGGACATAGGCATGGGCAAGGACTTCGTGACTAAAACACCAAAAGCAATGGCAACAAAAGCCAAAATAGACAAATAGGATCTAATTAAACTAAAGAGCTTCTGCACAGCAAAAGAAACTACCATCAAAGTGAATAGGCAACCTACAGAATGGGAGAAAATTTTTACAATCTACCCATCTGACAAAGGGCTAATATCCAGAATCTACAAAGAACTTAAACAAATTTACAAGAAAAAATCAAACAACCCCATCAAAAAGTGGGCGAAGGATATGAACAGACACTTCTCAAAAGAAGACATTTATGCAGCCAAAAGGCACATGAAAAAAATGCTCATCATCACTGGGCATCAGAGAAATGCAAATCAAAACCACAATGAGATACCATCTCACACCAGTTAGAATGGCGATTATTAAAAAGTCAGGAAACAATAGGTGCTGGAGAGGATGTGGAGAAATAGGAATGCTTTTACGCTGTTGGTGGGACTGTAAACTAGTTCAACCACTATGGAAGACAGTGTGGTGATTCCTCAAGGATCTAGTACTGGAAATACCATTTAACCCAGCCATCCTATTACTGGGCATATACCCAAAGGATTATAAATCATGCTGCTATAAAAACAGATGCATACGTATGTTTATAGTGGCACTATTCACAATAGCAAAGGCTTGCAACCAACCCAAATGTCCATCAATGGTAGACTGGATTAAGAAAATGTGGCACATATACACCATGGAATAGTATGCAGCCATAAAAAAGGATGAGTTCATGTCCTTTGTAGGGATATGAATGAAGCTAGAAACCATCATTCTGAGCAAACTATCACAAGGACAGAAAACCAAACACCACATGTTCTCACTCATAGGTGGGAATTGAACGATGAGAACACTTGGGCACAGAGTGGGGAACATCACATACCGGGCCCTGTCGTGGGGTGGGGGGAAGGGGGAGAGACAGTATTAGGAGATATACCTAATGTAAATGATGAGTTAACGGGTGCAGCACACCAACATGGCACATGTATACATATGTAACAAACCTGCATGTTGTGCACACATACCCTAGAACTTAAAGTATAATAATAATAATAATTTTTAAAAAAACAGAAAAAATATAGAAAAGAAAAAAAAAGAAAAAGAAAATGGAGTAGCTTGGGTCTCTGACCTGTGGAGGCATCATTAACCTCGCTATCTTGTTAAACCTACAGCTATTTGGAGTTTCATTTTCAATAGTTACCTATATGCTGAATAATCTAGAAGTCATCAGGAGGCTTTAAGTAGGTGAAACATAATTCAACACAGACTGGTTTATATGTTACAACTCTGGCTGCTGGGTGGAAAATAAGCTGTGGGGGAGGGCAGAGTAAAATCAGGGAAAGCAGTTAAAATGCTATTGCAGTAATCTAGGTGACAGATGATGGAGCAAGCTAAGGAGGAAAGAAGTAGTAGGATTCAGAGTTTTTGGAAGGTGGTGCCAATGGTATCTAATATAGGCTTGAGGTAAGGTGATTGTCAGAAAGAGAAGAGAAAATGACTCTGGTTTCTGACTTAAGCAATTGGGCAAACAGGCCACTAACTGAGATGGAGAACATTGGGAAAGAAGCAAGTTTGAGGAAGAAAATCAAACTTTTTTTAAAATTTTTAGCTAGTTATTCAAATGGAGATAGCAAGTGACATTCTATGGAATCTAGAAACTTCCAGCTTGGAGTTTAGGAAAGATGTTAGGCTAGAAACAAAACTTTGGGAAAATCATTAATAAATTTATAATACAATGTACTAGCATAATATCAAAGGGCTCCATTTATGGCAAGAATCCAGATACAATAGAGGCAATATCATGTTGGATTGGCCCAACATAACATTGCATATTTTTCTAATTGGCAACAAAATATGACTTAATACTTACATGATATTCTTGTTTATTTATAATTGGCATGTAGAACAATAATTGGTATCCAGTTCTGGGTCCTTCAGGATGACATGATATTAAGAGACAGGACAGATATTATTGGCATAATACACAAGAAGACCTTGGTGAATTATCTTCTACTTGTGTTTTTAATCACGTTAACTATAGAAGCATTCCTGTCTATGTTGTACTATTTGTCTTTCAAGGGACTGGGAAAGGCTTCATCACTGGGCACTATGCTTGCTGAAGAATAGAAGGAAATGGCATTTGCACTTCCAAAGTCACAGGATAAAAGAGATGCCTCCCACTGTCATCTTCTACCCTCTTTGTGGGTACTTATTCTCTGGGTAATTATTGTCTAATTTTCCTGTTTGATATTAGCCTCACCCTTAGCACCTAGGAAGGAATTGAATGAATACTTTCCTGAGGCTCTAAGACTCACATAAAGCCCACATGCATAATGGGATTAACTATCTAGACTGAATGACTTTTCCCAGTTAATGTAAGTACTATTTACAAGAGTCAGCTTAATATTTTTGAAATGGGAAGCCTTCCTTGCCTCTTGCACCTGCTGGTGGCTCCAGGCGTTCTTTGACTGTGGCTGCATAACTCCAATCTCTGCCTCTGCCTTTACCCCTCTATTCTTTTCTGTGTCTCTTTTAAGGATACTTGTCATTGAATATAAGACCCACCTAGACAATCCAGGATGGTCTCATCTTGAGATCCTTAATTAATTACATCTAAAAAGACTATTTTTCCAAATAAGGGCATGTTCAGTTTCCAGAGATTAGAATGTGGACATATATTTTGGGGAGTCACCATTAAACCCACTGCAGTCTCAAGTCTTGTCAATCATTAGAACCACCTAGATAACTTGATAAAGTACAGATTCTCAGGTCCCATCCTTAGCCATTCGAATTCCATAGACCGGGTTTGTATGCATGTTTGTGTTTTATTGTAGATAAGAACTAAATCTAGGTTTAAAAAAGAAAATCACTAGGTGATTCTGATGGTTATTGTCCCCTATTCTTTCAAGATCTTAATTTTGGAAAATGTCATTGTTATCTGTTACATCATCAATGCAGTGAAAGACAATAGCATATCAAGAATGGCAAGATGGTATGGGGGAAATTGTGGGCTTGGAAATCAACCAAGGCTGAACCTGAAATTTGGCGATATCTTGTGTTATTACTTAAATTCTGTGAGCATCAGTTTTCTCACCTGTAGAATGGAAGTCTTTACATTATAGTGTTATTGTGAAGATTAATGAGATAACGTATGTAAAACCCCAGCACGTGCTCAGTGATCAATTAAATGGAAACTATTATTAGCAAAAGGTGGATCTGGCAGCCTATGTTAATCCATGTAGCTATAATACAATCATCCAAACTGACTCATTAATCATATGTCATGATTTGCTTAATTTTGATATATAAAAAGAATAGTATTTATAAATTTTGGAATTATGAACAGGTTCTATAAAACAATGAGAGAGTGTAATGGAAAATATTACCTCTTTAATTATTATAGTGATGATTTTTCAACTTCCATATAGTTTCCAAAACCCTAGGTAAATGAAAAATCTCTAATGTTCAATTGATTAAGTGGCTTCACCCAAACTTCTCCTATGGACTATATTCTGTCTCCCCAAAATTCATATATTGAACGTCACAAGGGTGGGATGCCAATCTAATAAGACAGTGGCTTTATAAGAAAACAAAGAGAGAGAGAGATCTTAAGCAATCTTTCTCTGCCATGTGAGGACACAGTGAGAAGGCAGCCATCTGCAAACCAAAAAGAGACCCCTCAATGTTGAACTTCCAGCTTCCAGAACTATGAGAAATATACATCATTTAAGCCACTCTGTTTGTGGTATTTTGTTATGGCAGCCCTAGCAGATGAATACACCCCCCCATCTAGCCTATATCCCTTTTTAGCATGATTCTTAGAAAATATGTCCTCATTGTTGTCATGAACATTTCCCAGGCCTGCTACTTCTCCTTAATTCTAATAGATGGGGTAAAGGAAAGTTATGTGTTACATGGGAGACAACAGAGAGTGTTTCCTATTAATTTGTAAGAAACCAAGCTCATCAAGCACAAACTATCATCAGTATAGACTTCTTTAATGGGATTATCAGACCCATAGTTTCTCTTAATTCAGGATGGATATTTTTCCTTGAGTAATTTTTTTTCCTCTTTCTGTGAGTAAATTCTCTGGCCATCTAGGTAAATTTATTGCTCATACTTCTGTTCAAAAAGCTTTGATATTCACCGTTGCTTTCAGAATGGCCGGAGGACCCATCAATTCATAACTGCAAAGACCTCCAATTCCTTAACTCCTACTCCTCTTTGTGTAAACTTTTGATCCAAACTGTATGCTGATGTCCTACTGACCAGCATTGTTCTTTCACTTTCTCACATTTTTCCATCTCATTCCTTCTACCTCACATGCCCTGCTAGCACAGTCAACTATATCCAATCTAAACAACAGGTCCTACTTCACCTCCTACCAGCTCCAAGAAGGCTTTGCTGACCACTCCAGGAAATGACTCAGTCCATGCTAGCTTTATCCTTGTTGTGTCACATTACTCTCAGGACTTTGCACAGGATAAATGTTCATAAATATTAATACTTCTTGGTCTAAATATATTTCTCTATGTAAAGAGCCCTTGAACTTCTAAGGCACTTCTTGTCTGTATCAGCAATTTGAAACGAATCACGAACCTTCTGAGGACAGCCCATATGTATGTTTGTGTTATTTACATTTTCTATTGTGATTTCACTTTCTGCTTCTAGTGTGAGCTACATTGGGAGCTTCTTGAGGACTACATCCCATGAATGAGATTTGGAACTAGGAAAGACTACAGGTTCCAACCTAGACTTCCCTGCTGCTAAAATTACACTGTTTAGTAAGTCACTTCACAACCAATTTTATGAGTAAATGGAAATGATAATCCCTGTCCTTCAGGGCATGGTGGCTCACACCTGTAGCGCCAACTACTTGAGACCTGGGTAGGAAGATCTCTTGAGCTCAGGAGTTTGAGTCCAGCCTGGACAACATAGTGAGATGCCATCTCTAAAACAAAACAAAACCATAATAAGTACCTCATAGGATTTATATGAGGATAGAATGATGTATTGTAAAGTATCTAGCACAGCATCTGCCTCATGGTAAATTGTCAATATGTGGGAGCTTTATTCTTATGTCCCAGTACTCCCAACACTTTTGTAGGTTAAATATTTTTAATTGTTAATTTCAATATATATTTCTATATAAAGATAAAATGGGGGAAGGGATGCCATATTTAAATGTTTTTGTAAGGCCTCTTCTAACTCAAGATGTCCTGATGCTATAAACTTTAAAGTGTATCAGAACGCATAGCACAGAAGGCAGCACAGTGTTGAACAATAATGCTCTTTAAAGTAGCTGCTGCATTTCCCACATTTCTTTCATTGTTCAGAAAATGGCTCAATAAGCCCACTAGATGATTTGGAATTCATTCAGGTCTTGTGAGCCCATTGTTTGCAATTCTCTAACTGTCATTTTACAGTCACATTGGACCCAAAGGATAGAGTCTGAAAATTTATTGAATGATGGAATTTTCCAGTTACAGAGCAGAATCCTAATAATTCAGAGACATCTCACTCCTGTAGAGGTCCCAGAAAAAGGTTAACGTGAACACAATTGCCTGTCAAAATCTTCCAATTATAAACTAGTTACTAGTTACCTTTTCCTGCAGTTGTGTACACAAATTAATATTTAATTTGGATGATCTTCACCCAAAAATGAAGGTTATAGGAATCTGTGCTGTTGATTTAAATTAGAATATTATACTCCTTTTGTTTTTCCTTTCCCTATATTGATTCCATGCCTGAGCAGTTAAAACCTTTGTGGAACAGAGACATGACGTGGTGTCACTGTTGGCAGCACAGAAAGACACAAAGGTAGAGAGATTTCAGGAACAGCAAAATCCCTGTTTCTTCCAAATATAGCCTTTCCTGGTTTTTACTTAGCCTGAAGTTTCTACTTCTGGAATTATATTTGTGGAAATAATAGTTTTTATGCACTAGTTTTTTAGAATAGCATGTACACACATACAAAGGCACACAGCAAAAAAATGTAAAAAAACATGTGGAGGTATAGAAGGTCTACAAAGCAGTCCTGAAAAGGGGAAGGAAGTAAAAGTTTTAAATTCTGTTTGACTCTGTTGCTGAGAATATAAATTAGTACAACCACTACAGAGAACAGTTTGGTTTGGAAACAGTTTTAGTTTCCTAAAAAAACTAAAAATAGAGCTACCATACACTCCAGCAATTCCACTGCTGGGTATATATGCAAAAGAAAGGAAACCAGTATATCAAAGAGGTATCTTCATTATCATGTTTGTTATAGCACTGTTCAGAATAGCCAAGATTTGGAAGTAACTTAAGTGTCCACTGACAGACAAATGGATAAAGAAAATGTGGTACATATACACAATGGAGTACTGTTTAGCCATAAAAAAGAAGGAGATTCAGGTATCTGCAACATCATGGATGGAACTGGAGGTCATCATGTTAAGTGAAATAAGCCAGGCACAGCAAGACAAACATTGTATAGAGTCACTTATTTATGGGATCTAGAAATTGAAACAATTTAACTCATGGACATAGAGAGTAGAAAGATGGTTACCAGAGGCTGGGAAGTGTAGTGAGAGGTTGAGGAGACATGGGGATGGTTAATGGGTACAGAAAATTAGAATGAATGAATAAGGACTAGTATTTTATAGCACAAGGTGACTACAGTCAATAATAATTTAATTGTACATTTAAAAATAACTAAGAGTATAGTTGGATTTGTTTGTAACACAAAGGATAAATGCTTGAGGGGATGTATACCTGATTTCCATGATGTGATTATCATGCACAGCATGCGTATATTAAAATATCTCATGTACCTCACAAGTATGTACATCTACTACTACATATCCACAAAAATGAAAATTAGAAATTATTATTTTTAATTCTGCTTGAAAATTTTGTCCTGTGAGAAAACATTTTAAATGGTTCATTTTCAAGGCATGATCAAAGTACTGGCAGCCAGCCTGTGGATGTAACAAACCACATGGCTCATGCACCTAGAAGGTCACAATAAACTGACAGAATGTAGAGGAGGAGTCAGCCCATAAAAGGGAAGAAAGTTTCGTTATTGGGAAATCAAAATTTAAGCGGGAAAGGGGACCGGGGTATGGGCTTATAAGGGGATAATGAAACTAAGGTTATGTCTGGGAAGATTGTAACCCCATAGTACTCAACTGATGAGGAACTGGAAGAGGGATTTGCGTGCTGGGAGATAAATTACCTGCTATAACTGCCCTGGGTGTGCCTGCCTACCTGACACCCTATCTGGAAAGACTGCCATTAAAAGTCTCACTTCCGCTATTCTTTGTGTCTCTGAGTCCATTCTTTGGGTTTGGATGGATGAATGTGTGTTTCTCACAGTCTGGTGCAGCCCTGAGTAAAAACCAAGATCTTTTATGCCTTAAATGTTTTTAAAAAAATGAAAAAGCATAAATCTATGTTTTGGTGTGTTCATAGTGTGCAGTCATTCTTAGGAGCAACTGTGAATTTACAAAACCTCTCCATTCTCTCCCCTTTCACTCCTACACCTACTATCTGTTCAGCCCTGCGTCTCTTAGAATTTTTTAAACTATATTCTCTCTCATCTCCTAGCTTCTACTTTCTTTCATTTTCCTTCAGGGCTAAACTGTGATAAAAGATGGATCCTCTGCTCTGCTTAGCAACCCCGAAAGCTCTCTGATGCTGCAGGAGACAGTCTCAGCTCCTTTGAGTGGCCTTCTGGCCCCTTGTACAAAGTCCTCACAAACTCATCACCTTCTCTTCTCCCCAAGCACACTGCATTCCAACCACACCCTTTGTCTTCCCATTCCCTAAACAGGTCTCAAACACTGAATCATGCTACAAACATCTTCAAGCCTTTTCACATGCCCTCTGGATGTCCTCCTCCTTTTATGCCTAGTAAAAGCATCCAAATCCTTCCTGGCCTCACCCAGTACCACACAGATTCTACAGGCAGAATCAGGTTATATCCTAGACTCTCATGATTTCAGAGGCTTAAGCTCTTCCTCCCACAAAGTTATCCCATCATGGGATTATGCAACACAAATTATGACTGAAGCAAGAGGCAAACAGAAGCCCAAGTCCCACCTGGCTCAGGTTTCTCTGCACCCCACCCAGTCCAGCTGAGCATGACCACCTCTGTTCACAAGGTGCTCCTACACACCACCATCATCGGTGTTGGTCTTCTAAGTTTCTCAAAAGAACCCAAGGCTAGAAGGCCAGACTCAAATTTAGAATTCTCAGACTTCTTGAAGATCCACCCAGGAATTTTAAGAACCTACCATCACCTGACTTTTCCTCCATACCGGCTCTGCCCAGTACTGTGAGCATAGATACAAGGATATCTCAGCCGGCATGTCCAAACTCAAGCCACACCACCACCACCATTACCTCCTCCAAGCACCATCTCTTGGAAAATGAGACTATCTGGACAAAAAATTCCCTGGCCATGGATACTTAGAATATGGTAGAAAGGAGGCCACAGGATGTAGGTGGCCACATCTCTGTGGTCCCAAGACTCCTTGCATTATGGAGAGAAGTGTAGCCACCTGCACCCGGGTCTTCTGACAAAAGGAGGGGGCAGAAATGGGAGACGGGGAAGTTAGGATAGCATCTACGGACAGGGGCTTCTCTTGTCCTGATTTAAGACGATCAGGCAGTGGTGTGTCTTCAAATAAAAACAAAGACAAGTCTCACTCTGTGAACTGTTTGTCTCTCTAGAACACTGGATCTCAACCAGGGGTGATTTGTTCTCTATGGGATACTTGGCAATGCCTGGAGATATTTTGAGTTGTCGTGATTTGAGAAGATTGGGAGTTGCTACTGTCATCCAGTTGGTAGAGACCAAGGATGCTGCTAAAACTCCTACAGCACATAAGACAGTTCCATCACAACAATAATATAATATTAGTTTGGTACATTACTTCTAATGGCGAAAACCACAATTATCTTTGCACCAACCTAATAATAATAATGGAAAACATTTTCTAAAAGTTAATTTGTAAATTGGTTATATATAATATTGTTGTCAAGCAGATCTTAAAGCAATGGTTCATGTCACTTAACTGCACAAAAGATTTAATCACACACACACGCACACATGTGCATGCATGCATGCACACACCCAGCTTATGAACTAAAGTTCAACTTTCTAAGCTTGACATTCAATATGACTCTTGATCTGGAGCCTACCCTGTTTATCAATTTAATCTTTCTCTATGATCTCCTTATGTAACCCAAAGCCTGTGTCTATGCTACTATCAGACTTAAATATTTTAGACTGCCATATGGCTATCTCCCATATTTTCCCTATCAATTTTTGGCATACTCAACCCCATTCCTGATAGTGAATTAAGTCTTCAGCTGGACCTTCTAATGTAAAATGTTCAAATTCAGAAACTAACTACACTTAAAACAGAATTACCCACTAGAATACATCAAGGCTGTACCACTAAGATAATAATAACTAGCTCTTGGGATTGGAAGGATAAGACAACGATACCATGTATAAATCACTGTGAAGATGTTACCATTATGATGTCCCTACCTCATAATAGCACTCAATGAAATGTCTGTGTCTCTCCTATAATTAAAAAGGCATTCCAAGTAGGAAAATAGCTTTTGCAAATAAATTAAAGTAAGGCTATTTACAGTAAAATAATAATAATAATAATAATAATAATAATAATAATAATAATAATAATGTAGCACAATAGAAGCTTATTTCTCACTCACATAAAATCCAAAACAGATGTTCCTGCTTGGTGGCAGGAGTGGAAGGTCGGCTGTGTGGATGAAGGAAGACTGCTTCATAGCTTCACGCAGAGCCGTAGGCTGGAAGTCTCCATCACCTTCCACATGTGGCTTCCATGATCATCCTGTGTGTCAACATCCAGTGGGCAGATGGGAAAAGAGAAAGCACAGGGTATGTGCCACCACTTCTTAACCACTTGGCCAAGACATGGTACACATCATCTCAGCTCATATTCCACCGGCAAGAACTAGTCCCACCTGGATGCAAGGGAGGGTAGGACTGGAAAATGAGGGCCCTGGCTGGGCAGAGCTTCTCAGCAACAACGCTACACTATGGAAAGGACATTAGCTATCTTTACCACAGCAAAGCACAAGGGTATAGGAGATGAAGCAAAGACAGAGAGCAGTGGGCAGGCTTGCCTGGCTAGAATATGAATTGGAGCTTCGTGGCAGATGAGAACGGTTAGGTAAGGAAAGACAGCCAGATAACAGGAGACTCATGACTCTATCATTATGAATGTTTTCTATTTGAGAGACAGCTGTGAATCCGACCTTGAAGAAGAGTTATTTGATAAATAATGATGTTTAAAACAGACACTGTAGCCACAAAGTAATTTTTGTTTCATTACGAAATGAATCTGGTTTTTATTCAGGCATATCTTCCTTATGTGGAAATTCATAACTTTAAAAACGAATCATTGCATCACTAAGAACTCTTTTCACAGCATTCTCTTACCCCTTCCAAGTACCCTTTTCAATCAATGTGCTTTCTCCTTCCTTCAATTGCTTCTATGGGCTTGCAGAATCTGCTGCTGTGTTTGTTCCTTTGCTGTTCTCCTTTAATTGCTGTCTCTGCTGTGTCTGGTTCTCCTCCTTTCTTTTGGCCCAGACTATTTATTTCTAAAACCCATCAGCATTCTGTGAGGGTTAGGATTCATTTCAGAGAAACTCAAGGGAATTACCTCTGGGTGATTTTTCAGCCCAGGTATTTGGGGCAGTTAAAATGTCATTTATTTCTCTAGACTTGCATGATGTTGTGCAAAACATGAAATTAATCTTAACTACACAACATTCAACTCTTGACATTTCAAGACCTTTATTAAAATGTTGAAATAGAATTTTCCTTTAAATATGTTAATAGAAGAGACTTGTTGCTTTCCCTATGTGATAACTTTCTTCAACTCCCACATCATCTTTCATTACCCAGAGAAACACACCTTTGATTTTATAACGGAAGTCAATGGAAAAAAAACTTGCTATATAGAAATACACATTTACAGTAAAGTTTTTTATGCTGATATTCACTCAGTAATAGAATGTATACCCATATAATCTATTGTTCTAGCTTTCCATAGATGTCAAAAATGTTGTCAGCCTGATGCTAGAATATCACTGCTATTAGTGTGCCATCTAGTGGCTGATGTTGTGATATTTTCCATTCTTTGTTGAGGTAGAAGAGGCTTTAAGTGACATATGGAAAGTCCAGTGAGATTCCTTCTTTGATACAATGCAGGGATGACACAGTTGTATAAAGCCAATGGCCAAATGTTGAGTCATCTGATGATGTGTAGAGGATCGTTTGTAAGTTCTTACTTAGCCAATATAATTAAGAAATGAAGCTATTACAAGAACAATTAAATATATTTGTTAGCTCGCTGTATCATGATGCACAAACCATATGTGCATTAACCATATACCAAGAACCAGAATACAATAAAATGCATTTGACCCTAAATTTAAATTAGATTTAATTTTACTCTTGTTATTCAGATGGTACTTTAGGATCTTATAGGTCTAGGCTTTGAATACTAATTCTCATTGTGTAGTATACAAAAATGTATGTTTGAGCTTTCTGGTTGCTTGGATTTAAAACTAAAAGTGGTTTTGTATTTATAAAGGATCAAACCTATCATGCATAGTGTGAGTGGCAGCATATCCACCATTTTAGTTGATTCTTTGTAGTATTATAACCATAATCGCATGATCTTATATATTGCTTTATTCCAATATTAAAGATTGAGAGATAATGATAATGATTTTATCTTTTAGTTATAGAATTGCCTTCAAATGCCTTGTTTTATAATCATCTCAAAGTCAAACAAGAGATTCCTTTAATCGTTACATCATTTTTCATAGGCAAGTAATGAGGGACTGAATGGTTTTGCTGTTGAAGACAGAAGGACAAAAAAGTAAAATCATATTCTCCAAACATATACAGATAGTATTGAAAAGAAGTGTAAGAATTAGTTATTGTTTGTTTGCCCTTGGAAATAACAGTTATTATTCTGTTATTATTTTTAAACATCTATTTTATTTATTATTATTAAAGGAGCAGTTATCACTAATGCAATCATTTCAGAAAAATTTTCTTTAAAGCAAACACAGGAAAACAGAAACAAAAACCACCTCCATTTAATTGAGTTCTTAGTATGTGCCACGTGATTTAAATACTTTACATACTTTTCTTACTTAGTCCTCACACAACCTGATAAAGTTTCATTTTATAAAGGAAGAAACCAGGCTGAGTCATTGAATAACTTATTTTAAGCCACATTGACAGTAAAGGGCAGCTTCTGGATAAAACCTAAGTGTGTCCAATTTTGAAGCCGTGCTTATAAATGTGACAAAAAATACTTTATAACCATGTCAGGAAAACATGCATTGTACCTACTACTCTACAAAGTCTAGCCAAGAGCAGAACTGACATGCATTGTCTTATTTGCCATAGGTAAATCAACAGGAAAGCGAAGTATAAACAGTTAACTCAGACTAGTATATTACCCAGGGTTTTATACTGGTTGATCTGCCATTATTCCAGAGGCAAGACTACAAATCACTTGGATAACATGATCCTGCAATGTCAAGGTAGGTAAATAACTTGTGAGAGTTTTTAAATGATGCCATCACCACTGCAGAAGAGTATATTTACTCCTTCTGCTTTCCTTAAAATGGCTAGCATTAGGCTCTTTATTCAGAAATTTTTATATTATAACATACCTTATCTTATATCATTATCTTCTCCCAACAATCTATTAGGCCAACGTGCTAGATCAGTGATGTTACTTTAAGGCCCTCTCAATCTTTTTTAAAAGTTGTAAACAGACCACTGTGCCACGTAAAGATTAAAGTGTAAAGACTGAGACTTCAAGAATAAATTTTAATGCTGTGATCATATAATATATAAATTTTGCCAAACTACTTTTTGAGCTGCATGCTAATTAAATACAATGCTTAACAACCACTGATACACACACACACACACACACACACACACACACACACACACATAGAACTACTTTTACATAGCTAAACCAAGAAATGGGAAAGCTTGTTACTTTGTTTCTAGATTCCTGGATTCATAATTCAAGGGCATTGTGATAGATCTCCTTTGTTGTTCTTCCTATATCCACCCCTCCCTCCCCAAGCCAATGGAACCTTAAGTTCGTTCAGGTGGCTGCTGAGATCTTTCCCTCTGTCGAGTATTTATGGATGGGTTTAAACCAATCGTGATTCATCCCAGGGCCAGGGATAAATTATGATTGGTCTAAACCAGCCTTAGTAATCTTAGTAATCTTGTAACTTTGTCTGGGAATGAAGTGACAAATTTTGGTCAATGAGATGAAAGCAGAAGTTTTTGAATGAGCCTCCAGGGCTTGTCTTTCTGATTAACACAGATAACATAGAAAAGAACTTTTGTCTTTCTGATTAACATTGATAAACTTACAGAAGACAGCCTTTGCCTTTCTCTTCTCTTCTGCCTGCAATGAAGACATAGTCCCTGGAGGCACAGCAGACATTTGTGACCATAAGATGACAAGCCTGAGGACAAAAGTCAACTTTTATTTTTTGAGACGGAGTCTCATCCTGTGGCCCAGGCTGGAATACAGTGGCATGATCTCGGCTCACTGCAACCACATCCCCGGTTCAAGGGATTCTCATGTCTTAGCTTCCCTAGTAGCTGGGACTACAGGCATGCACCACCATGCCCAGCTAATTTTTGTAATTTTAATAGAGACGGGGTATCACCATGTTGGCCAGGCTGATCTCGAACTCCTGACCTCAGGCGATCTGCCCACCTGCACTTCCCAAAGTGCCAGGATTACAGGCGTGAGCCATCTCACCTGGACAAAAGTCAATTTTCTAAGGATGATGCAACAGGATGATAGGTCTCTGACAGCATCGCTGAGTTCATTGAATAGCTGTATCAGGACGTTTCTTACCTTTGGATTCCTTGCAATGTGACAAAAAGTTTTATTTATATAAGCTATTGTTTGTAGGGGTTTCTGTTACTTGCAGCCTCATGTATTAGGTTGAACCATATGATATGTTGTAAACAAAAATAGTTGAAGCTTAGCAGATTTCTATGATTCAACCAATTTTATGAATTGATGCTGAATTCAAGACCCTTTCACTTCTCCAGCAATCAAAACCTCTCCTTTTCCTCTCTCCTGCCACCTGATACCACACAAAATAGATCTTTATATATATATATTTCTGACATTTAATCAATGATGTGCTGGTAAACTAGTTTGTTAGGAGGAAAAGCCCTGATTTGTACTGTATTTATGGTATAACTACTCCCACTATGTCTCATTTTAAGCTTCCAGCTTGAGGTCACTGAAAAAGGAGTTGGAAAGAAATGCTCGCAATCAGCTCTTCTGAGCTGCTACTACAGCCAGCTCCAGCATGCCACTGCCCACGCATTGGCCAAAGCTCTGTTACAGTGTATGATGGTCAGAGCTAATGTTAGAAAGTAATTTATTATCCTTACTATTATTCTCTTTGTAGCATTGAGACAAAGATACAAGAAAAATATAATATATCCAATAATTATATGATATATATGCTAAGTACATATTATGTACACATAAAATAATTATAAAATACAATAATTATATCATATAATTAGGATATGGGGAAATTGACAAGATAAATGTAGATCTTTGCCCTCTGATTCATTTAGATCTAGTAAAAAAAACTAAAGAAAATGTGTCAGAGTAGCCACCAAGGAGACATAAAATAGTATGAATTTTTACCAACAAAATAACTTATAATTTTGATATAATTATAATTCTACATTATGGCTTTATTATAATTTATAAGAATATATAATTTTACCAACAAATTAATTAATATGAATTTTTACCAACTAGCTCTTCTATTGCCTAACTTTTATCAGTTATCTCTAATGGGTAAGAAAGAAAACCAAGATATCCTTCACTGGTTATTCATTTTTTGAAAAAGCTGTATTCTGTTGCAGTTAAAGAAGATGAAGCATTTGACTTCCATTTGGGACAGTGACCTTTATAAAATACCGCCCTCCCTCCCCCAAACCCTCAGCCCCCAAACTCATTTTCTCTAGCTGTTGAATGCCAAAAATCCATTTAGTTTTCAAACATTGCCTTTTTTCTATTAGTTTTAGGTAGCTGGTCCAAGAAATGATTGAGATTCTTCCCAGTTTAAACTTAAGATGCTTGAATGTACTGCCAGTACCAAATGAAGGTCTCTGCATTCTTCATCACCCTGTGCCCAGTCTCCGTCTTTTATCATCTTCTTTTAACAATCTTAGTAATCCCAAATAAAGTGAAATGGAACATATTAATAGTTACTCTTGGGGAATTTTTTTTGGACTGGAGTTGATATATAACTGTGGCTGGATTATCAACATGGACTATCCTGTCTGGAGAGACAACTCAATATTAATAATGCAGATTCGAGCATTCAATGATCCTATACTTTGTCAAGCCAGAAAACTGTGAACCAACCTAGATCTGTCCTCTCACTCAACCTCCAAGTCTAATCAGTCAATAGAAAAAATAACAAATATATACTGAGCACTTACTGTATGGCAAGCAGAGAGTTAAATGCTCTTCACCTATTATTTTATATAATCTCCACAATCATCCACTGTGTTGTGTTACTACACCCATTTTATAGATGACAAAACTGAGATACAAATAAGCTAAGCAACTCATCCAAAGTCATGGCACTGCGGTAGAGCCTGCAAAATTTGAACCCCAGCAGCCTATCTTCAGGGCATACCATGTTTACTATGTTAGCAGAATTATAATAGATTCTCCTGCTTAATTACTTCTCAAATAAGTTTGTCCCTTCCTCAATATACCTACTGACTTAACAGTAGTTAGAATCATCGTGAGACCTTGCCTGGATTTACTGTGATAGTCTCCTAACTGAACTCCTTGTCTCTGGTCTTTTCCCCACTCTAATGCATCCTCTACCTAGATGACAGAGTGCTTTTGCCAAACTATAGACCTGATTAAGCTCCTCACTGTAGCCTTCAGGATAAAGCTGAAACGTCATCTCTTAATAACCCTGACTCTGTGCGTAGTGGACCCTGCCTTCCTTTGTCCCCATTTCCCTGCACATCTCGACAGGGCAGCCCTACTAAACAGCCTGAATTTTCCCAAACATATCATCTTCTCACAGCAACAGCTTCCTTCGGACATACCTTGCTTTCTGCCCAAAATGTGCTGACTCCGTTTTTTTCTTCTATGTGGCTAATTTCTAGCAGTCCTGCAAATCCCTAGTGAAGGAGCATCTCTCAGCCCTCTACTATTGATCACAGTATGCTGGCCATGGTCCTCATCATAGCTGTCCTCAAAGAGCTCTCAGTTCAGGAGGCAGACAAGTAAACCAATAATCCAAACAAGTGGGCAACAGCTGTTATCAAGCCACAGATCTTAATATTCTATAAAGCGTAATCTTATAGCATTCACAAAGAAAAACATCATTATTTAAATTGTTATGTTTTAGACATGAAAAACACTTTGACTAGTCAAAAAGTTTTAGGCAGGCCAGGCGCAGTGGCTCATGCCTGTAAACCCAGCACTTTGGGAGGCAGAGGCAGGTGGATCACCTGAGGTCAGGAGTTTGAGACCAGCCTAGCCAACATGGTGAAACCCCGCCTCTACTAAAACTACAGAAATTAGCCGGGCATGGTGTCACACACCTGTAGTTCCAGCTATTTGGGAGGCTGAGGCAGGAGAATCACTTGAACCCAGGAGGCAGAGGCAAAGATTACAGTGAACTGACACCATGCCGCTGCACTCCAGCGTGGGCAACAGAGTGAAACTCTGTCAAACAACAGCAACAACAACAAAG
Source organism: Homo sapiens (assembly GCF_000001405.40). Classification (NCBI taxonomy): domain Eukaryota; kingdom Metazoa; phylum Chordata; class Mammalia; order Primates; family Hominidae; genus Homo; species Homo sapiens. The sequence goes on from NC_000012.12 coordinate 47,027,126, forward strand.
TCTTAGGCCTTGGCTGCTCTGTCTATGGAGTAGCCATCCTTTTGTTTCTTTACTTCTCTAATAAACTTGCTCTTACTTTACCTATGGACTCGCCCCAAATTCTTTCTTGCATGAGCTCCAAGAAGCCTCTCTTGGGGTCTGGATCAGGACCGCTTTCCAGTAACATCTTCCTGGCAAACCACAGAGGGACTATACGGAAGAGACCCAAACCCAAAGGAAAATTATCTGCTCAGCACCACTTGCCTGACTTTGCGTAAGTGGTAGAGTACATTTTATCCTGGGTAAAGGACGGAACAAGGCTAGAGACCCAACTTAGGACATTTAGAGTTCTTCCTAAGATTTAGGGGGTTAGGGACCTCCCTTGGTAAAGTCCCTGTTGGTTAAAAATGGATTTGGCACTACAGGATATTAACTGCTATTCCCTTTGGAAAAAGTTTTAGCTATGATGCGTGTTTCTAGATGTATCTGTGCTATTCTCTTCATTTGGAGTATGGTAAAATATTCTTACAGCAGACATAATTTTAAGGAAAATGTATTTCCCTCAGCACTTGTAACTTTTTGTTTATTTATTTATTGGATGTTCTTGCTTTAATTTCTTTAAAAAGCAAAAGGTACGAAAATAGCCATAAAAACGATATCAAAGGGCACTTTATTTTTTGAAATGAACTAAGTGCTACATGTTACTCTACTTCATGAGTTATTGAGATTTAATCCTGGACGTGAAGTAGGGTGTGGAGAGTGATTGACTGTAGTAGAAGAAGCAATACACTTCATGGGTTGGCAGTGCTGGAATAAGATTATCTACAATTAAATGAGAAGTAAGATAGTCCAAACTGGAAACAGTGTGTGAGGTTAATCTGCATTCCTAGGTTAGACTCTGACAGATTATGAGGCTCCCCCACTTAATGCCCCTCACACTTCTCTCTCTCAATACTCATTTTGATATTTAATCTTTTGTGCAGCCAATCAATTGATTAGTAATTTGCTTGTGTACATTAAAGGCCAGGAGAAAGAAGTTGCACTATACCAAAACCATGTCCCACTTTAAAAGGTACCTAGATATAGATTGTCCAAAACATTTTTACTTAAAGTATGCTCAGGAAGTGTTGAGTAAGAGACAATATAATTGACCAACGTATGGGCATTCTTTGGAAGCCAAGGAGAGAAGAAAGCAGACGGTAACAAACGGATAAGAACCATAAGCTTTCCCCTACTATAGAAAGTCAGAAATACAGGGAGGCTGAGGCAGGAGAATTGCTTGAACCCTAGAAGCGGAGTTTGCAGTGAGCCGAGATCTTGCCACTGGACTCCATCCTGGGTGACAGAGTGAGACTCCATCTCAAAAAAAAAAAAAAGAAAGAAAGAAAGTCAGAAATGCAAATATTTATGAAGTAATGTAGAAGTTGCAGTTTTCAGAAAATGTTTAGTCTTAAAACCTTTTGCAAGACTGCAACCTTGTACATGTTTTGGCTGGATATTAGCTACTGGTACTTGAAATCTAGTCTCATCTTCCTTTGTATGCCCTCTGTATTTTAAAGACTAGACATCTAAAAACCACATTTTTTAAAGTCACTTGGAGCAAAGGTTTTAAATGTGATTTGGGTTCTGCTAATAATACGCAGTTGGCCCTTCATATCCATGGGTTCTGAATCTGTGGATTCAGCCGATTGCAGACCTAAAATAGGAAAAATAAAATTTCTCCAAGTCCAAAAGGCAAAACTTGAAATTGCCACATGCCATGTACTAGACTAAATCCATGTCAAGAAAGTAATGTTTAGATATTGCATTAGGTATTATAAGTAATCTAGATATGACTTGAAGTATATGAGAGGATGTGTGTTGGTTATATGTAAATATTATGACATTTTATATGAAGGGCTTGAGCATTCATGGATACTGGCATCCATGAGGAGTCCTGGAACCAATTGCCATGAATAGCAAGGGACAATTGTGTGTTCGTATATATCTAGAAAGTAGAATTGTGAGGAAGTCCAGCTTTGTAGCTATGAACGCTGACAAGCAAGTTTGCCAAAACATAAGTGCCTGTGGTAGCTGGACTCCAGGTTCTCATGTCTAGTTTTCAGCTTCATGAGTGTGAGCAGCTGTGATGGCAATAGCAAGAGCGGCAATGGTGGTTAAACCTGAAACCCATAGTTCGATGGTAGTCCCATAACCTTTCAATGATTTTGTAAGTGTTTAATTGTCTACATTAAATTCCCTCCTAATTGAAAAATCTAAATAGATTTATATTTCATGCCCTGAATGCTAATATGACATCCAAACAGCAACTTGAAGAAGCCCAATTTATTGAAAAAAAAAACAACCTATAATTCAACATCTGTGACTAATCAAGATATGACTAACTCTGCCATACCTCCAGTATTCAAGGTCAGGAGACAGAGTCCAAAACTGGCATTAAGGGTTACTGCAGGTCTATTTATGCTTTTGATACTTCCATATACATCCTGTGGTTTGAAGTGTGTGAGGCAGAAACTGCATTGAATAGGGTATGGGAGAAATCTATGTTTATGGAAAGAATGACCTCTGAATTAATGAAGGACCATTATAGGAAACTGTGTTTTTTACGGTCATTGGTATTCTCCTCTTCTCCCTTCATCATCTTATCTGCTAGATCTTCCTTTTCCAGACCTCTAAATGTTGAAGTATTCCAGGGTCCATACCTTGGATATCTCTCTGCACCTATACTCACTCTTTCAGTAATTGAATCTGGTTATATGGCTGTAAATGACATCCTTATGATGACGACTATAAGTCCTCAAAGTCCGACACATTCTACTTCACCACATGGTTAGTTTCTTCATGGATGAAGTTGGGAAGAGGATTGTAGGAAAAATCATATTAACTTCAGAAATGGGGCAGATAGCTGGGCATGGTGGTTCACACCTGTAATCCCAATACTTTGGGAGTCTGAGGCAGGTGGATTTCTTGAGCTCAGGAGTTCAAGACCAGTCTGGGCAACATGGTGAAACCTGTCTCTACAAAACATATGAGAGTTAGCTGGGTGTGGTGGCACATGCCTGTAGTGTCAGCTGCTCAGGAAGCTGAGGTAGGAGGATCACCTGAGCCTGGGAGGTCAAGGCTGCGGTAAGCATGATTGTACCACTGCTGCACTCCAGCCTGGGTGACAGAGTGAGACCCTGTCTCTAACAACAAAAAAGAAAATAAAGAAAAAAAAATGAAGCTGATAGAATAGAATGTAGTCATCAGATTAGAGGTCAGATGAGAGAGAGTCCTGCTAGTTTTACCATTATGTACTTGCATAATACATATTCAGTTAGGTTAAAACACTGAACTGAATCAACGAGAGGACGAAGTAATAGTTTGGATCTATGTCTCTGCCCAAATCTCATGTCAAATTTTAATCCCCAATTGGAGGTGGGGCCTTGTAGGAGGTAACTGGATCATGGGGACAGTTTCTCATGAATGGTTTAGCACCCTCCCCGTTGGTGCCATTCTTGTGATAGAGTTCTCATGAGATCTGGTTGTTTAAAAGTGTGTGGCACCTCCCCACTCTCTCTATTCCTCCTGTTCCAGCCATGTAAGACGTGCCTGCTTCCCCTTCACCTTCTGCCATGATTGTAAGTTTCCCAAGGCCTCACCAGAAGCAGAAGCCTGTATAGCCTGCAGAACCATGAGCCAATTAAACCTCTTTTCTTTATAAATTACTCAGTCTCAAGTATTTCTTTATAGCAGTGAGAGAACGGACTAATACACAAAAGTTATGCATGTGCAAAACTGAAGTCAGTATTTTGCTTTCTGCTTACTGTCTCTTTCATAACATTCTTTAGTATGTACAAAATACTGGGTTCAGGAGTCCATTGTATTCTGGCTGGCGGCCCCATAACGTTGAATTATGGCATCTTACCTATCTGCCAATTTTCTATGCTTGATTTTCTCTACCTTTGACCATCATTATACTTATCAAAATTGTGTCTATTCCTTCAGAGAACTGTTTTTGTTTAAATATCCTGAAGGAAAGCAATCCTAAAACATAGTCACTCTAAAGAATGAAACATTCTTAATAGTTTGATGTATCATTTCTCTCAGAATTTATATTTTTTACAGGGAACACTGCTTTGTGCTTTGATTTTGTGTAGGCATCATAATTGTGGAAGGCCTCTAAGAACCAAAACTGTCTACCTGATAGTCTGAACAGTGAGAACTGAAAACACATCTACATCTATATTAGCAAGACTTCGCAATTCCTCTGACTTCACCAACATAACTTTATTTTTTCAGGAGTCTTCTGCCCAGGCATATGGCTTGAATGTTCACTACAGGAACTTCCCAAAAGACTCATCCTCTCTTCAGTGGAAAACGTCAACCAACAGCTTGCACGTAAGATTCTTTGAATCCCTCGCCTTAGCCATCAGTCTTGGACTATTGTATCCTGATCCTTACCCAATCCTGAACCCCATTTTTAAAGACCCACCTGAAATCACACTTTCATTTTCCAATAAGTTGGGGTTTCTTCCCCCCACTCGGAAACAATCCCAAAGTTTGTGAGGTGGTGCCCACCCTTACCAAGGTAAGTAATAAACTATGGTTTGTCTTGTCAGTGGGTTATGTTGGGGTCAGTGGTTAAGCTCTTTGGGGAACCAGCTTTTGACAGCTCCAAAATCTTGCATTCAGAAGTCTGTAACTATTGAAAGGAGAAGTCTGTACCTGTGAACCAAAAACATGTGAGACAGGTCTCAATCAATTTAGAAAGTTTATTTTGCCAAGGCTAAGGACACACTTGTGACACAACCTTGGGAGGTCCAGGTGACAGGTGCCCAAGGTGGTTGGGGTACAGCTTGGTTTTATAGATTTTAGGGAGACATGAGACATCAATCAATATGTGTAAGATGTACATTGGCTCAGTCTGGAAAGGCGGGATAACTTGTATAGGGGGCTTCCAGATCATACGTAGATAGGAGACAAATGGTTGCATTCTTTTGAGTCTTTGATCAGCCTTTCACTGAATACACAATCTGCATGTGAGACTCGGGTAGAGGAATAGTTACTTAAGCCTTAGTCTGGCTCAATGAATCTGTATTTTATAGGTGAAGGAGGTATATAGCTTTTAAAAATCTTTGTAGTTATCTTACTTAGAAATAAAATGGGAGGCAGGTTTGCCTGATGAAGTTTCCAGCTTGACTTTTCTTTTTGGCTTAGTGATTGGGGTCCTGAGATTTATTTTCCTTTCACAACCTTAAAATCATCAGACACTGCATAAATGTGAAGGCCTAGGCTGATTTTTTTTTGAACTGGATATTATGAAAGATACAAAGGTTGAGGCTATAAACTTCAAAGCTGCCAGGATAGACTAAAACTTCATAACCAATCCACAAGATGCCAGCATTCCATCAGTGCTCAAAAATCCAAGAACGCACATGGGTCATTACAGTGTTCATGTTATTTGAAAGGAAATGCAAATATGGTAACATTTCATTTGGAAAAAGAAAAAGAATATATATGAACTACCACAAGTTTTCCAATATCTGTCTTTAAACTCCTAAGAGCTAATATGTAACAAATTTAAAGAGAGAATATTTGGTGAGAGAAGGTGGGGGTTTTCCTATTCAGCTTAATGGTAATTTTTAGAATTTCCTATTCAAGAAGCCACTAGATGGCCCTAAAGCCCACCTTTATCAAAACACACACACAGAGAGCTGGCAAGACGAAGAAGAAAAAAATTTAGCCATTTGCTCATAAGTTAAAACTGAAAAAAGATAATTCATACAAAGACATAAGGTCTATCCTGTGTTTACTTAAGGTTTTAAGAAAATCAAGTTTTGCTACAAAACTTGGAGCATTTTTCTTTCTGGGAACATATAAGTACATATCATAATAACCAACTTCTCTACAACATGCATGATTTTTGATGGTGCTAATATACTAGTGGTTAGATTTTCCAAGATTGATCGAATTATTAGAGCTTCTAAGCAGAAATTACATAGTAAAGAAATCCAATACATAAGAAATAGTGAACTTGAGTGAGATTACAACTCAGCTGAGTTGTTTGATCAGCATAAGAAACAGTACTACACAGCCTCTTTCACAACCATGTGCTGACATAGTGCACAGAGTGTTCCTGGCTCCCGTGGCCTCCCGTATCCTACCCTGGCACTTCCATTCCTCACTGGTTCCTGCGTTTCTGTCTGCCGCTCTGCAGGGACAAGGACTGTGGCTCTCTTGTGCAAGGTTACCTCTCCATCACCTATTGTAACTGGTCATTGGAGCATTTCTGGCATGCCAGTGCCAACTATAGTGTGCTTAAAACATATCCACCAAAGTTTTACACCGTACTTAGAAGTGTTCCATGTTATTTGTATTTAGAGCTATAAATCAGTTGATTTATTCAAATCAGAAATACAAATGAGATAAAGGGACAAAGTTCCACAATTCTGCTGATTCAAAGTAAAAATAAGGTATTAGTCCAGGTAGAGTGGAAAGCACAAATTCATCAGCAGTAACAAGTGGAAGCCAGGCGTGTCCATGAGAACAGTGGAAGTCTCCTGGGAATTAGGAGACATCTTGGAGAAGACAGTGGGTTTTTCCACAGGGCATAAAATGGGTATTCAAGCCAATCTGATTAAAATCTTCAGAGGCAAAAGACCCTAGCAGACCCAAAGTTATTATATAAGCATTTTAAAATAGAAACTGCATAGAGAAGTGGCAGCTGAAATACAAATGACAAAAAGCCTTTGGGTAAATTGGCTCAGGAGCTTTGTGATGCTAAAGAAAATGGAATCAGCCACAGGCAACAGAGAAGGCAGATGGGGAAAGACACAGTCCTGAGGAATAACCTTTGCAAGCACATCTGCGACGTGACACAGCCACTGAACATTCCCTGAATACAGCCGATAAGATCAAGAGCGAGCATTTCTTAATCAGTCATTGCTCTAGAGTCTTCAACACAAATGCCTAGATTTTTCTGGTAAAAGAAAAGCTCATTCCATGAGTGAGCAGCAAGTTAATAAGGAGAGAAAAATTATCCTGCCCTTTTCTCTGTTTTGTTTTTCCTATCACTCCTTCTCCTATTAAGGTTAATTTTATGTTTGAGAAGAGCATGTGTTTTCATTATCAGGAAAAAAATGTCTGTTTTTAAAATGTATTAGCATATTTTATTTGTTTTTGTCATAATGCACCCAGAAATAAAAGAAACCACAAAAGTCCATGTGATGACTCATGAGTTTTTATTTCTCTTGGGTATACCTGGTTTCCTTACAGGAGCGTCACCCTTCTCCTGACTGAACCAGACACCTGGGGAAATCTTTCCATAGCACTGGTTTCTGATTTGCAAGTTCACTCATCACAATTTATCAAATGAAGTGGGTTCACTCATCTAACTTCTACTGAATGCCTAGTATATGCTGTAGATATAGAAATAAATAAGCCCAAAGTCCTACCTACAAAAAAGTCATGACTACTAAAAAAGAAATAAAACTGTGATTATAAGATACTGTGGTAAATGTTGCAATTAAGGTTCACATCGTGTAAAGCTTTGGGCTGCATGCTATATTTATTTCTCAGGAATCCATTCCAAGGCAAGAAAACCCAACCAATACTCAGCTAAACAAAAAGACATTTATTTGTCTCAGACAACACAAAAGCCAGGGAGGTAGGCAGTCCAGGGCTGGGAAAATAGCTCCCTAATGTATCAGGGACCCAGGCTCGTCTGTCTTTACCACTCCTTCACCACCATCCTTGGCTTGGAGGCATTTGTCTTCATATTTGCTGCCTTGTGGTTGTAAGGTGGCTGCTACATTTTGAAACATCACATCTGTTCATGTTCCAGGCAGGGAGAAGGGGGAAGAACAAAGGGCAAAATGAGTCATGTTAGCCCATTTTTTGCTTTTTTATCAGGAAAACAAAAAATTTCCCAGAGACCCCAGCACATAGACATTGTTTTATCTTATCCGTCAGAGCTGTGTCACAAAGCCACCCTGGCCAGAAGGTGGCTAGCGAAAAGCGGGCATGGGATAGGAATTAGGCTGGCGGACCCACAGCGTGAGACACTAATGTACCCCACATGCTCCTGTTGCTATCTTCTACCCATTTGAACAACTACTGTCCTCTCTATTCTGCATGCTGGCTAGGAGAGCCTAGGCAACAAACAGTCCACAGGTATGCCTATGGTTACTGCTATTTCAACAGAGTTCACTGGAGTAAGATGATGAGGGAGGAAGTTCATCTTTTTGAGGATTTACCCCCTGTTTACATTCAGTCTTTCCATGTTGAACTAGAAATTCAAAGAGGAGGCATCATGTCTCCTTAAATATATATATCTTTCCCCTCTTTGGAGATCAGGATCTGTTTTAGACTGTGGGGAATTCAGTAGCCCCAACTCTGTTTTCAGGTGAGGTAACTGAAACCTCCCTGCTTCAGCAGTGCGATTCCCACTACCTGTTTACAAGAGAACTGAATATCCCCTCCCCTAGGGATCCTCTGCTGGAACTCCGATTACCCCATAAGTTGCTGTTAAATCAGTGAATGGCATTCATTAGGCACATATCATGTGACAAGCAGTGTATCATATTCCTCTAATTCTTCAAAAACAACTTTATGAGAGAGGTACTAACGTCATCTATTTAACCATGAGGAAGTCAAAGCACACAGAAGTTAAGTCATTTGTCCAAGGTTACATGGCTAATATGCAGTGAGGCAGGGATTCAAACCCAGGCAGTTGGCTTCTTATGGAGAACTGGGCAAGGGATCTTAGTACTAAATCAGCTAACCTCATCTAGTGGAAATGTCATTCTCAGAGTTCTTCAGGCTGCAGACACCAGGCTTCTGTAACTAGCTCTAGGTCAGTTTGGAAAGGTGCATGGTAAACACCAATAATTTAGGAATATAAGGCAGCTTAAGATTTTAATTCATTCATTCTTCAATAAATATTTATTGAACCCCTGAAACGTGCTAGGTTTCACTCCATGGCCTGGGGATTCAACTATGGGCAAGAGAGCATGGTCCCTTACCTGAAAGTTTACTGTTTCTAGGGAAGACAAGGAATTAAGTAAAATTTGATGAGTAATATACTGAGAAAAATTCAAGGTACTATACAAGTGTATTATAGAAGACATTCGTATTTTGGGGGTGGAGGTGGGGAGTTTGTCGGGGAGTGCTTTTTTTTTTTTTTTTTTTTTTTTTTAGGCAGAGTCTCACTCTGTTACCCAGGCTGGAGTGCAGTGGTGCAATCTTGGCTCACTGCAGCCTCCATCTACTGGGTTCAAGCGATTCTCTTGCCTCAGCCTCTCAAGTAGCTGGGATTACAAGTGCGCACCACCATGCCTAGTTAATTTTTGTATTTTTAGTAGAGATGGGGTTTCACCATGTTGGCCAGGCTGGTCTCGAACTCCTGACCCCAAGTCATCTGCCCGCTTCAGCCTCCCAAACTGCTGGGATTACAGGCATAAGCCACCACGCCAGGCCATCAGGGAGTACTTCTAAGAGGAAGTAACATTTGAGTTCTCTGATATGTTGCAGTTAGCCAGACAAAGATCCTGACTGGAAAGATTCTGACTGGAAAGAAGAGGTATGGGTGTTTGTGTAGTTCTAGAGCGGGGAAAACCTAGTTTGTTGAAGAACTGGAATGAATTGCAAAACCCCCTGAAGTAAAAGATACCTGAAGAGGTGGGCAGAAGTGGAGTCATGAAGAGCTCTGTGACCTTCTAAGCCAACTTAAAGTCAAGTATTTTGTTTATGGATTTAATTTTTTTTACAGTTATAATCACAATGTCCCCAGTAAAGAAACCATAATATAGCTCATGTTGTTTTTGTTCTTAATTAGCTTGTTAACTTCATGGTACATTGACCACTTAAAAATGAGATTTATTCTTCTCATTAACTTTAAAATGTTTGGAAATGAATTGCTTAATATCAGAAAACATTTCTTATGCTTTTTGAGAGAGGAAAATAGGTGAGCGTCTATTTATTATCTGGTGATGTCTATGTGCTGGAGTCTTGGTTCTCCCTATTTCATGATTCCTGATAAAAGACTTATGCCTCCGTTCTTGTAGCCCATTCAGAGACCAGGTTTAGGCGTGAGTGCCACCAAACAAATTAGAGTTTTTGCCAGAGTATGGAATTCCAAGTCTTATTTTCAGGCCCCTAGGCATCTGTGCCAATTGTGTGAGTTGCACTAACGACTAGTAAGTGAGTGGTCATTGCTCTGCTAAATCTTGGATATACAAATTTAGGGGGTCTCAACACATGAACAGGATGGGGAACAGGCAGAGAGGCAAAGCTGTGTTTGTGAGGAACCAAGAGAGGCAAGGCTTGATTCCTGAGTTGTTTGGATATATGCTGTCCAGAAAGTGGGGTGAATATAGTACCCCATCCTGAGGAGATTGGAGCTCTGTGCAGCCAAGAGAAATGGCCCCATAACAGGTAGCCAGAAGCTCAGGGCTCTCTATTCACAGCCAGAATAGAGGCTGTCACAATCCTGGGGAAATTTGTTGATTTCTTTATTCATTCATCCAATAAATATGCCATAGAGACAGGGCAGTAAAACACACAATGACAACAACAAAACAGACAGAAAACTCTGCCTTCATGAAACTTATACTCTAGTGATGCAGATAGAATCCAGTAATATGTAGTGAAAAAAAAAATTCATGACCACACTGGGTTTACTCCAAGAATGCAATTTTGTATTTTGGTCTTATGTGAAAAAATCAGTCAAAGAATGAAAGAGAATAATTACATGTCACTTCAATAGTTGCACAAAAAAAATTAGTAAAATTCAATACCCAAGCATGATTTGAAAAAACAAACACTCTTAGCAAACTCGAACTATAAGGGAATTTTCTTAACCTAATTAAGGATATTTACAAAAGAACCTTTGATGAATATCATGCTTAATAGTAAAATGTTGAAAGCTTTCTTTTTAGGATTTATAACAAGACAAGCATTGTCTTTTATTACTACTTTTATTCAATGTGCAAAATTGAAGGACACCGAAGGCCCTGGCCAGTGCAGTATGAAAGAAAAATAAATAAATGACAAAGTTATTGGAAATAAAGAAATAAAACATCATTATTCACAAATATGATTATATCTGTGGAAAACTGTGTGAAAATAAATAAAATTTAAAAGCTCTTGGAACCCTGAAAATATTTTAGGCTTTGAGAGATATGTGACTGTGATCTGAATCACATGTAGTTACAACCTCTATTCTCAGATTATAGATTAACCTGCTTTCTTGTTTTTCTTGTTCTGTGCAATGACTAGAGAGAATTAAACAATGCCAAAGACAAAACCTCCTGCCTTCTTCATTAATGACCCTTGTTATAGATTAACTTCCCCATTTTTGTCTTGATTTGCTAGATAAGATGACAGAAAACTCATGACTATTACTCCCTCTGGAAAAAAAAAAAAGAAAGAAAGAAAAAAAAAAGTTAAATGTACCCTTCCCAGAATAAACACAGCCTATAACCAATCAAATTGCTGTAACTATGCACCAACCTTATATGGAAAAATGTTGTAATCCTCCTAAAAACTCCCTGTCTCTGCCTACATAAATGAAACCTTAAGTTCCTTACTTCGGCATACTTACTCTAGTCCTCTGCAGTTGGTGTTTCCAGGTAGGCTATCTTCAAATGTTGCTCTTGAATCAACTATCCTTAAATTAGATTCTTAACATTTTATTATTTTAGGCTGACAGTTGAAAAGAACCTACAGCCAAATCAAAAGAATTCATAAGTGAGTTTAGCAAAGTTACTAGAAACAATATTTAAAAATTTATTTGAATTTTTCTATACAAGCAATAAAAAAAACAAAAAGATGTTATTTATAACAGCTTCAAAAATATCAAATAACTAAAAATAAGTCTAGCAAAAGATATGCAAGGCCACCATGCCAAAAACTATAAGACACTATTAAGATAAAAAAAATAAGACCTAAATACTCTAACTGATAGAAAAGACTAATTCATGGATTGCAGAAATCAAATTGTAAAGGATAATTCTTCCCAGATGGATCTAGATATCCAATGTAAACACCTTTGATTATTTTTTTTTAAATGAAACTTGACAAGTGAGTCTACATTTAACTAGAAATTCCAAGGGTCAATAGCTAAGAAATGTTTTACACGAGTAACAGTGGATTCTGATTATCAAGACTATAATGCTTCGGTAGTAATACATTGGCACAAGTTAAGAGATTGGATGAGGATTATAAGGATAGACAAGTTAACCAATGAAATAGAAAGAGAGCCAAAAACAGACTTAACCACACATGGGTGCTTGATTTATGAGAAAGGTGGTATCATAGACCAGTGGGGAGAAAGGGATCTTGTTGATAAATAATATTGGGACAATTGAATATCCATATTAAGAAAAAATTTGACCCCTGCCTGACACAATAAATAGATATTAATTTTAAATTTTTAGGCATAAATATGAAAGAAAAAAGCAAAAAATATTAAGATGATACAGTAGGAGAATAGTTTCATGATTTTAGAGTAAGAAAAGAATTAAAATAGGACATAAGAAACGCTAACTATAAAGGAACCAAGCCACATACGTACATTGAAATTATTAACTTCTGTTTGCCAAAAGACACCTTTAAAAACGAAAAGGGAAGAGCAGAGTGGAAGAAAATATTTACAACACAAACAAAAGTTAAAAGTCTCTTACCTCAAATATATAAATAACTTCTACAAATTAATAAGAAAAGATTAACAATTCAGTAGAACAATGAGTCAGAGCAAATCACAAGAGGCTATTCAAATGGCCAATAAATCCTATGATGTTAAAATTCCTCAGAAACAATCAAAAAGTGAAAAACAAACTGGACCCAGAAGAGCAGAAGCCTGTGGTTGAAAGGAAAACAGAGCAGGGAGAAGGAAGATCAGGACAGTATTGAGAGGGTATACCAGCACTGGGTTAAAACAATCTGGGTGACGTTCAGTAAAGCTCCATTATTTTTAACTGGGATTTTTGGGGCCAGCCACTGAAGTGGGAAGGTTTATCCCTTTCCTGTGGGTCTTTGGATTTTCATTAAATCTTTCCCTATTCCCTTAAACAAATTTTGCCCTTCTGTCATCTAGTCCACTTCCTCTCTGTTGGTGGCTAAATGGGATCATCCTGGAGGAAACTTAAGGCTATTTCATTTCCCATTTTAAGTGCCTTTTGGGGCTGAACAGAGATCTGCAGTTGATTTGTTAGCTGGCAGAAGTGTGGACAGTGAAAATTGCAAATTGATTTTTTCTTGAAGGGTCAGCTATTGGCTCACATTTTCAGGTAATCAGTTATGATGCTATCAAATAAAGCCACTTGCAATAGTGGCCATCTAATAATAACAAATGTAGATTACCCCACACATTATTTAACTCTCTAAAACACTAGCTTGTGGCTGCAGGTACAAAACTCCAGTGAGAAAATCTTGCAAAAACATTTGGTGCAAAATCAATGATAAAATCTTTCACAGCATTTTAAGAGTAACTGTAAGAAGAAAGCAATTGTAGTTATTCATTTAATCGTTTTTCTAAATAGAGTCTACACATGAGCTGAACTCTTCATTTGGAATGAAATAATCCTTTTGAAAATTTTACTCTGCATTAGATTTTATCCCAAGTGGCCCAAGAAGCACTATCTAATATGACTAACAACCACACATCTATAACTAGTACAACTCCAACTATAACTTTGTAGGACCTATTGAAGTGGTTGACTTATGCTTATTAAAATATTAAATAAGAATGAAACCAGTCATTCTTTGGAAGATTCCAAATAATGTTGTAGAAACTTCTATTCATTTATATATTCCAAGATATCTTCCATAAAGTGGATAAGATTTTTAAAAAGATGTAAAAGGACCAATTTTGAGTGTGGCCCAACCAGACTCAATTCTGGAAATCAATTCTTACACATTATCAATTATTCATATTAATATATCATTATATATATATAACTTTTTACACTGATTTATTTATTTTATTTGACACTATAAAATAAAGCAACCTAAAATAAAGTCAGTATTGCCTTGGAGAAATATTCTGTTAATCTTTCCATTCTGAAAATGAATGCCATAGGAGAATGACGAACAACAGAAAATTTATTAGCGTAATGAAAGAAAATTTAAAGTACTCCCCTAAATGCATAGAAGTAGACTATGCCCTGAAACTGTTTTTGAGTAGAAACTTTCTGAATATTGAGTTACAATGGTGCATTTGATCTAACAAAAAAGATGAAAATATAAAGAATTAATTGTCTCAATTCCAGAGAATATTGTATATAGTTGTGTATATAGTTGTGAAAAAACTGGACAGCACTTTTTTCATATTAGTTCACATTCACAAAGTTCATAACAATACAATATGACTCATAGTTGTTCATTACTAGGACCTTGAACTACAAAGAAACCCGCAGAATATTCCTTGGCAGCTCTGGCTTCATGGATATATGACTTTGCATTCATACACGAATCTTAAGCTTGGAAAATCAGCTGAGCGCAGTGGCTCACACCTGTAATTCTAGTACTTTGAGAGGCAGAGGTGGGCAAATCACCTGAGGTCCGGAGTTCAAGACCAGCCTGGCCAACATGGTGAAACCCCATCTCTACAAAAAATACAAAAATTAGCCAGGCATGATGGTGTGCGCCTATAATCATAGCTATTCAGGAGGCTGAGGTGGGAGAATCACTTGAACCTGGGAGGTGGAAGTTGCAGTGAGCCAAGATTGTGCCACTGCACTCCAGCCTGAGCAACAGAGCAAGACCCTGTCAAGAAAGAAAGAGAGAGAGAGAGAGAGAGAAAGAGAAAGAAAGAAAGAAAGAGAAAGAAAGAAAGAAAGAAAGAAAGAAAGAAAGAAAGAAAGAAAGAAAAGAAAGAAAGAAAGAAAGAAAGAAAGAAAAAAAGAAAGAAAAGAGACCCTGCAGTACGAAAACTGAACTGTGATTTATCCATATGTTATGCCCCTCTATTTCATAAATATTAAGAAAAATCATTTTGACTGTGATTAAATGTATATATACTGAGCCAAATATTTTTCTTTCAACTATTTTCCCTTCCTTCCCCCTTCTTCCTTGGATTTTTTTTCTCCTTAACATTGACTATGGTCTATATATATGTGTGTGTAGGTCTAGTACTGAGCTCTCTATGATGTTCCATTTACCTTTCCTTGTGCCATATACAATGTCTTAATTACTATAGCTTTATAATAAAGTTTGATATTTGATCATACAAGTTCCCATCTTGTTCTTTAGAACTGTCTTGGTTATTTTTGGTCCTTTGCTAGTCTATATAAATTTTAAAATCAACTTGTGATGTTGGGATTCTAGGAGTGTTAATCAATTCATGAAAATTAATGTCAATACAATATTAAATCTGACTATCCATGAATATGGTATATCTCTTCATTTGTTTAGGTTTTATTTAATGTCGTTTAATAAAGCTTTATAATTTTTACCAGATATGGGCTTACACATCTCCCACTAGATTTTTTTTCTCTTGGATAAAATATTTATTTTTATTGTAATTTAAAATAGTATAAATATTTTTAAAGTTTTTTACTTTTTAAATATTTGTTTACAGTTCATTTTTGAGGTAAATATACATACAGTAAAATAGACAAATACAAGTGCACAATTTGTTGAATTTTGACAAATGCAAACAAACGTAGAGGTAAGAATGTTTTACATAGTATAATCTTTTTAATAACATTTTTAGCTGATCATTGCTGGTGTATAAAAATGCAATTTCCTTTTTATTTTGTAGACAATTATACTACCCATAAATAATGACCAGTTTGTTTTGTTTCATTCTAACTCCTAATTCCTTTTATTTTACTTTTTTATTCACATTACTATACCATCTAGGCCATTTAGTAGAGTGTTAAACAAATGTAGTAATAATAAACATCTTTACCTATTTTATATTAAACTTAAAATTTTTCACCATTAAGTATAATATTGCTGTAGTTTTTTGATAATATTTACACGTTTAAGAAATTTTTCTTCCATTATTAGTTTGCTTAAGATTTTCTAAACCATAAACGGATATTAAATTTTATCTAATACAATGTGTCTACTTAGCTCATTATATAGCTTTCATTCTTTAATATGTTAATGGTGCAGCGGGGTGCGGTGGCTCACGCCTGTAACCCCAGCACTTTGGGAGGCTGAGGTGAGTGGATCACAAGGTCAGGAATTCAAGACCAGCCTGGCCAACATGGTGAAACTCAATCTCTACTAAAAATACAAAAATTAGCTGGGCGCAGTGGCAGGTGCCTGTAATCCCAGCTACTTGGGAGGCTGAGACAGGTGAATCACTTGAACCCAGGAGGCAGAGTTTGCTGTGAGCCCAGATCGTGCCACTGCACTCTAGTCTGGGAGACAGAGTGGGACTCCATCTGAAAAAAAAAAAAAAAAAAAGAAATATGTTAATGGGGCATGAGTTGGTTAGCCAACTGCACAGTTTGAGGTGGCATAGTCCACGCAAGACTGTCCTCACTTTTGACAGCAATTGCAAGTTTAGGGGCTTCCTAAAACCACCTTCAGGTTACCTAATCCACAAGGACTCCTGGAACTCACTAAAAGTTGTTATAATCCAGGTTAGAGTGTATTACAGGAAGGATACAGATTAAAGTCAGTCAAGGAGGGGCACCTAGAGCAGAGTCCAGGAAAAGTATCAAACATGTAGCTTCTGTTTTTCTTTCTCCATGGAGTCCTGGACACATTACTTTTCAAATATCAAAGTATAACAATGTGCACAAAATATTGCTAATGAGGAAAGCTCAGCAGAGCCAGGTGTTCAGACTTTTTATTGAGGCTCCATGATGTAGACATGGGCGATTGCCAATGTGGCTGATTTCAATCTTCAGCCTCCACCCTCTCCAGACATGACCCAAATCCCCCACGCTAAATCACATTTCTGGTCTTTCTGGTGTAGCCATTCTCCATCTTAAATCATATTTTTAGACAATCTGGTGACCCAAGGCTCACAGCCAAACAAAGACACTCCTATCAACCATGATATTCCATCAATTTACCCATCACCTCTCAGAAGCCAAGGACAAAGACCAGACTTCTTTTCGGACAAAGTTGAATTCTTTACTATGTGTGGGGTGAATAACATAATTTAACTTTCTAATATTAAATCAACTTTGTATTCCTGAAATGAATTCAACTTGATAATAAAATATTTACTTTTTTATACATTATATAATTTGGCTTTATAAGATTTTGTTTAGGATTTTTATATCTATGTTCATGAATAAGACTGGTCTGTAAGTTTTCTACTTTATGCTGTCCTTGCCTAGTTTTGCTATCAAGATTATGCTAACCTTATAAAATAAGTTTGGGGATGTTTCCTCCTCTTCTATAACCTAAAAGAGTTTTTGTAAAATTGAAATTATTATTTATTAAATATTTGGTTGAACTTGTCCTTTAGTAATTGGTAGTACATATTAAGGAAATACGCACATCAATGGACATGTTCAGGAAAAATGAGTGTTGAATTTTATCTCTTTTTTTTTTTACATATTTTAAGATTACCTTATAATTTTTTTCTTTACAATGTTAATGTCATATATTCATAGGTCTTAAATGTTGAACCATTTACTATCTTTTTGTTTTGTGTGTTGCTGGACTTGATTTGCAAATATTTTTATGAAATAATATTTATAAGTATAATTGACCTACTATTTTTATCTTGCATTACTCTTATTTTATTATCAAAATTATACTAAATGTATAAATAAACTAAATAATTTTTTTCTTTTTTTCTATAGTAGTTCGTATAAAATAAAGATTGTTTCTTAAAGATTTAGTACTGCCATAACCAATTACTACAAACTAGGTGGCTTAAAATGCTAGTAATTTATTCTCTCACACATCTGGAGGCCAGACTTCCAAAATCAAGGTGTCAGCAGGGTTAGGTTAGTTCCTTCTGGAAGCTTTAAGGGAAAAACATTCCATGCTTCTCTACTAGTTTCTAGTGTTGCTGGCATGTCTTGGAGTTTTTTGGCTTGTGGTAGCGTAGTTCCAATATCTGCCTCCAGTTTCCCATCACCTTCTTTCCTGTGTGTCCCTCTATGTCATCTCTTCTTACAAGGACAACAGTTATTGGATTTAAAATTCAACCTAAATCCAGGATGATTTCATCTTAAGATCCTTAACAAATTATATCTACAAAGACCTTACTGGCAAAAACATGACATTTTAAAGTTTGGGTGCACGTTACTTTGTATGGGATACTATTCAATCCCTTCCAATTGCCTGAAATACAAAAATATGCCAGGTATAATTCCAAAATATAAAAGAAAAACAGTCTTGCTAAGTGAGACTTTTGAATTACTTGATACTTTGTCTTGGATCTGAGGAAATGAAGTATATTTGAGGTATAATTGCTTTAAAAAGTACTCCAGTGGATAAAAGTAGGTGAGTAGAGAAGAAAGAGTGTTAACAGCCATTAGTGGTGGCTTCTGGAAAGGACAATTACTGATCAGACCATCTGTTAATTCTACCAGACAGTTTAATGTGCAAATGTAAATAAAACTAATAACATCTCCATGGAAAATTAAAAAATGCTTAACCAACATTGATTTGATATTGAGAGTCTTCGTCTGTTTTGTGTTGCTGTAACAGAATATGCAAGACTAGGTAATTTGTACAGGACAGAAATTTATTTCTCACAGTTCTGGAGGCTGGAAAGTCTAAGATTAAGGTACCAATAGGTTTGGTGTCTGAGGAGGGTCCAGTCTCCACTGCCAAGATGATGCCTTGAATGCTGCATCCTCCAGAGGGGAGAAACTCTCTTCTTTACATGACAGGAGAGCAGAAGAGAGAGAACCCACTCTTGAAAGTTATTTTGGTAGTTGCATCAATCATTCATAAAGGTAGAGTCCTCACAGCCTAAACATCTCTCATTAAGCCCCACCTCTCAACACGATTGCATTGGGGATTAAGATTCCAGTACATTAATTTGGAGGGGCCAAAACATTCAAACTAAAATATTGAATTTCTGCTAGAACTAATAACTGTGTTAGATGAATAATAGAAAGTAGATCAGTACCAATAAGCATTTCACTCAAGTCAGCCCCAACCCCTTTCAGCTGCAAATAATTTAGAGTGATTTATTGGCATGATTTAACTTTAATCAGAAATTGAGAAGTGAGTAGCTATATTGTAATATTTAATAATATATTTAAAGATATAATTATACCAACCTCCTAGATTATTGTCTCTTGTTACTATGTTTCTCTGGAAGCATTTTTCTTGGATTTCGTAAAAGGTTCTCTAGAAGAGGAAGTAGTCTAGAGAACAAACTGAAAACAATTTGCAATTGTTTAAAAGCAACATTTCACAAATTCTAGTTATAAGAACTTCCAACAAAAATCACTGTCAGAAAAAAATATATGGGCATCCTCTGGGGCCTCTATGGGATGGAGATTGTTGGAATCCTTTTCATCTCTAAGATTCTGTGAAGTCTCTGAGTTATGAAAGAGTGAGCTGAGAATCTCAGCATTCCCAGGTGAAGGGAACTAAGGCAGGTGATTTAGCAATGTGGAGGGTCATGCTTCAAGATCTTGTTGGAAACCCATATCCCAAGGAAAAAGGTGGCCCAGGTAACAATAACACAGAACAAAATAATAGAAAGATACCAGTTTTGCAGGCAGGTAGATCAGTCTTTGAATCCTAGCTCCTCCATCTCTGTGTCTCTGTTCTGTCATATACCTTAATTAAAATTCAAATGAGATAACATATGCAAAGTACCTGAACATTAGGTGCACAAAAAATGGTAGGTGGTATTAACTGTGACTAGGAAAGAGAAACAAAATTGCTGCATAAATGGCAAAAATTTTGGTCATCAATTAAAACTACTTACAGAGAATGTATATACTTTTAAGATTTATGATAATTTTTCTCATCATAAAGAGGACTGTATCAGCCTAAAATTATCATAATATGGTAGTTATTTTGCACATGTCAACATGGCAACACCCCTAGTTGTGTGCTGTTCATGAAAATACATGCTGTTCATGCTGCTTCTGAGAAATAGAGTTATTATAGGTCTTTCCCTCTCCATTTCACTTCTCAAACAAAAGAATATTTCATACATTTGTATATGTGTTTTTTTGTTTTTGTTTGTTTGTTTGTTTGTTTTGAGACAGGGTCTCCTTCTGTCGCCCCAGCTGGAGTGCAGTGGTGTAATGACAGCTCACTGCAGCTTCGACCTCCCAGGCTCAAGCGATCCTCCCACTTCAGCCTCCCAATTAGCTGGGACCATAGGCACATGCCAACATGTTCAGTTTTTTACTTTATGTAGGAACGAGGTCTCACTATGTTGCCCAAGCTGGTCTCAAACTTTTGGGCTCAAGTGATCCTCCTGCCTTGGCTTCCCAAAATGCTGGGATTAAAATCATAAGCCACTGCACCTGGCCACATTTTTATGTTAAAGAAAATATTCTTTCTTTCTTTGAAAGAAATGCCTAGGAAAAGTGTAGTGTCATTACTTTTAAAAATTATAATGTTTTCATTCATATTGAGTTATTTAGCTTTCTTGCTGCAAGACTTTATTGAAACAATATGATATTGGTGCCTGATTTTTCAAATAGTTCTGTTGCTTTACATACTTTAAAAATATAAAAATAGCATAACATTTGGTGAGTTGAACTTTAAGGGTAGTTTTCTTAAATTTCATAAATTCATACTATTGGGAGACAATTTTCCATGGGTCTCTCAACATTTCAGCACACCTGGCAGAAGCACTGATTGCCTTTTGTTTACAGCGTATCCTTTCAAGGATGTTTGTATAGAGAACAAGCTTGACAGATAGATAGTGTTTCCCTCTGGAGCAAAAGACAACCATGTATGCTCTCTAGTATAATAAGTATTTTTCTCATTGGAGCAAAAAACAGGTATGCTTACTGCCCATTATAAAATAGGTCAGAGTTCTTCTCCTTTAACATAACCCACTGCTTGTGCAGATATCATCTAGCCTTTTTTCTGATGCCCTCCAGAAGTTGAGACTTGAGGAACTGATACAAAATGCTAATAATCTGGCTACCACTGTTGCTGTGAATAATAAACTATCCTTTGTCTCTGACCCAGGAATCTTCTGCTTTCTACCAGCATCCATGAGACTGTGGCAGAATAACTAGCTTGCAGATAGGGTACAAATATCAGATGCGTTGAAGTTCTTGACAAATATCTGAAACATTTATTTGATGACCGTATTAGTCTGTACTCATGCTGCTGATAAAGGCATAACCAAGACTGGGTAATTTATAAAGGAAAGAGGTTTAATGGTCTCACATTTCTACATGGCAGGGGAGGTCACACAATCATGGCAGAAGGCAAAGGAGGAGCAAGGCACATCTTACGTGGTGGCAGCCAAGAGAGCGTGTGGAGGGGAACTCCCATTTGTAAAACCATCAGATCTCATGAGACTTATTCACTACCATGAGAACAGTATGGGGGAAACTGCCTCCATGATTCACTTATCTCCACCTTGCCCCTGCCCTTGACATATGGGGATTATTACAATTCAAGGTGAGATTTGGGTGGGGACATGGCCAAACCATATCAATCACTAACAAAAGGAACTAATCACTAACTAATCACTAACAAAGGAACTAATCACTAACAAAAGGAATCCCATGACTAATTCACATTCTAGCATATCTAGAGCAAAGCAGCAAAGGGCAAGTGTGACCATTTGTAAAGTTGTGAGTATGTGTATGTGTGTATGTACAGCCAGTTGTCTACTTTTAGAAGCCAGGAGACTATTTAACACTTCCTAGAACCTGGGATTTTTCTGAAACAAAGAATCAGATTGATATTTTATATCAACTTTTAAAAATTCAAAGAAATCAAAACCATAGTACACAGTATATACACTAATGATAAGATTATGCCTAAAAACACGTAAGAGACAAAAATAATTATAAGCAATAAAAAATTTTGAGTCACTCTAATATGGAAGATTGGCTATAAAATCAGCTCATAAAGTAAAAATTGCATATAGTAAAATACATATGTTGAAAATGCCTTTAATCACCCATAGAGTATACTGACCATACAGATTTTTTAAAACAAATAATGCATTTAATTTATTTGTCAATGGCTATGAAAACTTTAAAACCATTCACATGTTCTTTCCATAGGTTTTGGAACTTCTGCAGTTGGTTTTCTGACTTAATTGTAGCCCCTGTGCAAGTCATAGCATTGGTGGTGCAGAGAAGTGTCTACTCAAGCTGTATTGTTAATTTAACAAACTTTAAATGTATGCATGACATGACTTCATTTTACCCTTAAATATTTTCATCATTAAACAGGAGAAGATAAAAAATAAGCCAACATATTGAATTTTAAAAACAACCATTAAACAAACTTAACAAGGAACAAAAAAACAAACAAAGTTAAAGACAGATATTAATGAATCAGAAAAAAAATTGGTTGAATTAACGAATTCAAAAGCAGGTTTCAGAAGATGATAAAATAAAATGGAAAGGTTTTGAAAGCTCACCAAACAACTACAATATAAGCCCTGTGAAGGCACAGTACCTGGCCTATAAATACACAATAAATATTATTTAAATGAATGAATACATTTTAAAAATCAGGAATAGGAAGAGAAAGAATAAGAGTGAGATGTTTAGTGGCCAAGACTAAAGGTGGTGCACATAATTTCTGCCCATATCTCAGGGGCCACAGCTCAGTCACTTGGCTTCCCTGGACAAAGCCTGTTTCTGGGAAGAAAATGAAATGATTTGGTTCTCTGCAATGCCTGGATATTATTTCCTCTCTTGTATTAGTTTGTTCTCACTCTGCTATAAAGAAGTGTGAGACTGGGTAATTTATAAAGAAATGTATACCCAGTGAAACTGAGTAATTTATAAATAAAAGAAATTTAACTGGCTCATAGTTCCACAGGCTATACAGGAAGCATGACACCTTCTGGGAAGGCCTCAGAAAACTTTCAATCATGGCAGAAGGTGAAGGGGAAGCAGGCATGTCTTCCATGGCTGGAGCAAGAGGAAGAGAGAAGTCGGGAGATGTCACACACTTTTATACAACCCAATCTCACAAGCACTCACTCACTAGCATGAAAGCAGCACTGAGGGGGAAGCCTGTGTCCATGATCAAATCACCTCCCACCAGGCCTCACCTCCAACATTGAGGAGTACAATTGAAAATGAGATTTGGGTGTGGACACAGATCCAAACCATATCATTCCACCTCTGGACCCTCCAAATCTCATGTCCTTCTCATGTTGCAAAATACAATCATCCCTTCCCAACAGTCCCCCAAAATCTTAACTCATTCCAACATTAACTCAAAAGTTCAAAGTCTCATCTGAGACAAGCCTTGTCTCTTCCACCTATGAGCCTGTAAAATCAAAAGCCAATTAATTACTACCAAGATACAATGGGTGGGTGGGTGGGGGTGGGGGATAGGCATTGGGTAAATAGTCCCATTCCAGAAGGGAGAAATTGGACAAAAGAAAGAGGCTACAGTCCCTATGCAAGTCCAGAACCCAGCAGGGCAGTCATTAATTCTTAAAGCTCCAAAATGATCTCCTTTGACTCCATTTTTCACATCCAGGGCACACTGGTGCAAGGGGTGGGCTCCGAGAGCCTTAGGAAGCTCTTACTCTGTGGGTCTGCAACTGTACTTGTGGCTTTTCCAGGTTCACAATGAAAGCTGTTGGTGGCTCTACCATTCTGGGCTCTGAAGGACAGTGGCCCTCTTCTTACAGCCTCACTAGGTGGTACCCCAGTGGTGACCCTGTGTGGTGGCTAAAACCCACATTTTCCCTCCACACTGCCCTAGTAAAGGTTCTTCATGAGGGCTCCACCCCTGTAGCAGGCCTCTGCCTGGACAGCAAGGTTTTTTCATACATCCTCTGAAACCTAGGTGGAGGCTCCCAAGTCTCAACTCTTGCACTCTGTTCACCTGCAGGCTTAACACCATATGGAATCCACCAAGGCTTACAGCTTGCACCTTCTGAAGCAGTGGCCTGAGTACCTAGGTCCCTTTGAGCCATAGCTGGAGCTGGAGCAGCTAAGACACAGGGAGCAGTGTCTCGAGGTTGCACAGGGCAGTGGGGTCCTGGGCCTGGCCCTGGCCCACAAAACCATTCTTCACTCCTAGGCCTCTGGGCCTGTGATGAGAGAGGATGCCATGAAGGTCTCTGAAATCCCTTGGAAGCCTTTTCCCATTGTCTTGGCTATCAGCATTTGGCTCCTTTTTACTTATGCAAATTTCTGCAGCCTGCTTGAATTCCTCCCCTAAAAATGGTCTCTTCTTTTCTATCACATGACCAGGCTGCAAATTTTCTACACGTTTATGCTCTGCTTCCCTTTTAAATATAAGTTCCGGTTTTGGGTCATTTATTTGTGCATGCATATGAACATATGCTGTTAGAAGCAGCCAGGTCACACTTGAATGCTTTGCTGCTTAGAAATTTCTTCCACAAGGTTGCGGTGAGCCAAGATTACACCATTGCACTCCAGCCTGGGCAACAAGAGTGAAACTCCATCTCAAAAAAAAAAAAAATTTCTGCTACCAGATACCCCAAATCATCACTCTCAAGTTCAAAGTTCCACAGATTTCTAGAGCAGGGACACAATGCTTCAGGTTCTTTGCTAATGCATAACAAAAGTGACCTTTGTTCCAGTTCCCAATAAGTTCCTCATCTCCATCTGAGACCTCATTAGCTTGGACTTTCTTGTCCATATCACTATCAGCATTTCAGTCACAAGTCAAGCAGTCCCTAAGGAGTTCCAAACTTTCCCTCATTTTCTGTCTTCTTCTGAGCCCTCTACACTGTTCCAACCTCTGCCCATTACCCAGTTCCAAAGTCGTTTTCAGATTTTCAGGTATTTATAGTAATGCCCCACTCCTCAGTACCAATTTTCTGTACTAGTCCATTCTCGCACTGCTATAAAGAAATACCTGAGACTGGGTAACTTATAAAGAAAAGAAGTTTAATTGGCTCACAGTTCCACAGGCTGTACAGGAAACATTATAGCTTCTTGGGATCTAAACATTCTAAACCTGTATCAGTTTCCCCTCAGGAAACTTTCAATCATGGTAGAAGGTGAAGGAGAAGCAGACACATCTTACATAGTCAGAGAAGGAGGAAGAGAGAGAAAGCAGAGATGCCACACACTTTTAAACAGCCTGATCTCAGGAGCATTCACTCACTATCACGAAATCAGCACCAAGTGGGAAATCCACCCCCATGATCCAGTCACCTCCCACCAATCCCCACTGGGGACTACAATTGACATGAAGATTGGTGTGAGGACACAAATTCAAACCATATCAGTTCCCTTTCACCTCTAATCGTGTTCCTTGTCTGTAGCTCTGTTAGGTCTTTACCACTTGAGATTGTGTGCATCTTTTCACAGTTTATCTTTCCCAACCAGATGGTAAGGTCCATGAGAAGAGAAATCATGTCATAACCTAAATTTCTTGTTGTAAACAACACCCAGCATGGGGCTCTGTGTGCTCAAAAACTCCTCACTCCTACAGAGTGCATTTCAATTTACAGAGTGTCTTCACAGATTTGTCTCATTGTTGATTTCTGAAGTGGAAGACCAATATTTCTGACTTTATGATATACGAATGCTTGGATGAGCTGCAAAAGGTTGAGCAAAGCAAATGTTTCCATTCCATCTAGTTCAGCCACATAGACATAACCTTTTTCGTTCTCTCTAAAATAAACTCAACTGAGTAATACTACATTTTTCTTTTATTACTGGTGGCATTTTATTTAAATGTTTGCATCCATATTCCTAAGTGAGATGATATTTCCTTTTTTTGTGCTATATTTTCTATGTTTTGTATCAGAGTTATCTTAGTTAGAAAGTAATAACTCCAAGATGGCAGAGTCATTCACAGGAGCCCCAATCTCTGAGTCTTTTCTTGAAGGACAACTGCCAGGAGAGCTGCCTGGCTCAAATTGGATTGTGACATGAGTGAGAAATGGAGTTTTATTATGATAAGTCATATTATGGTAAGTTTGTCTTGTTATAGTAGCTAGCATTGCTTTTCCTGACTCATAGATTCTTGTCATCTCAGGTCCTGCCATCATCCTAGGTGACTTCTGTGTCCACATCAATGACCT
This sequence comes from Homo sapiens, assembly GCF_000001405.40. Taxonomy (NCBI): domain Eukaryota; kingdom Metazoa; phylum Chordata; class Mammalia; order Primates; family Hominidae; genus Homo; species Homo sapiens. The sequence goes on from NC_000012.12 coordinate 47,053,212, forward strand.
TTCCAAAACCTTAGCCATTCCTCTTAACCTCATTAACATTTGTACCTTCATTTCCTCTGCTGCCATTTAGTCACAGCCCTAGAGCTTGTCGTCCCCTAGAGCTTCCCAATCACATCTATTCTTCACCCTCATGTGGTTCTCCTATCTACTTTTCTGTTAGACCTTTCCTGCCCTCAATTCCTTCCCATCCATCTTATTCTCAATGGCCATGAGCTCACTTATTCTTGGGCTAATCTATCACTTCCCCTTAACTCTCATTAAACGACCTTCTCTATTTCACAAAGAAGATGTGATCTTCAGGCAAAGAGTTCTCTCACTCCCTACACAGTCCTCCAAATCTTGTTTGTGTCCACACCAATCCTCTTCTCCATTCCTCTCCTCTGAAAAAAAAAGAGCTGTTCCTCCTCCCTTCCCATGTACTCACTGCCTTCCTTCCTGCTGTGTCACGCCTTTGCTCCACTCTTTGTGCCCTGTCTCAGCTAGATCTTCATTCTGTCCTCTACTGGTTTCTCCACCCTGGCCTTTAGATATGCCCAAACTTGAACTTCACAGCTCTGTCTTTATTCTGCATCCTTCTGCATAGTCAAGGCTCTATTTTTTGTTTACCATCTTCCCATCCAAACTTCTTGAAAGGGAAGCCTGCAGTTTCTTATTTTTCATGCATTCCTCAGCTCCCCACTGCCATTTGTCTCCCTCCTCCACTTAACGATTTATGCCAAGGTAATCTGTTCCTAGATCTAGTGGACATTTCTAGGCTTTCTCTCTCTTGATCTCTGAAGTATCTGGCCCTACTGGACACTGTCTCTCCTTCTCTTCATTTGGCTTTAGTGATACTATCTTCTCCTCTGGATTTGCTCTCATCTCTTTGGTCCCTCCTTTTCTGGCTCCTGCTCTTCCAACTGCTTAAACATTGCTGTCTCCACTGTTCCATCCTCTTCTGTTCTCTTGCCACATATTCTCTGATTTATTTCATACACTCCCATGTCTTGAATTCCTAACTAAATGCTTATGGCCAGAATCTAAATCTCTGGCTCAGCTGTATCTTCTGAGCTCCAGGCATCTTCATCCATCTTTGTACTAATCTTTCTTCTTTGATGCCCTACAGGCTGCTTAAACTCAACATGACCAAAACAAAACAAAACAAACTTTCTTCTCCTTCAAACATCTTAGAGAATTGCATCCTTTTCTGCACCACCTAAGCCATAAGTTATAAAGTCAGCCTCCATGCTCTCTTCTACCCTCCTCCATCTAATCTACTCACCGATCTGATCAATCCTAGGGTCTAAATAACTCTCAAATATATCCCCCTCTCCATCTCCATCACTACTTCTCAATTAGGCCTGCATAATTTCTTCCCAATTAGTCTTATAATGCCCTAACTCGTCTGCCTCTTCCTCTTTACTGCAGTCAGAAAGCTCTTATTAAATTACAAATCTACTCATACCACTCCAGCTGCTAAAATCTGTTCAAAGAAAAATTAGACAAATTTAATTTAATAGAGTCTAATTGAGCAAAGAATAATTCACAAATCAAATAGCCTCCTGAAACGGAATAGGCTGAAAGAGTCTCCAGCACTGCCTTGTGATAGAAAAAGAAAAAGGAAAGTGCTGTACAGAAACAGAAGTGAGGTACGGAAATGGCTGGATTGGTTACAGCTTGGCATTTCCCTTATTTGAATATAATTTGAAGAGTTGGCCACATTTGATTAGCCAAAACTTGGAGATTGGCACAATTGTAGGTTACAGCCTGTTTACACATTCGGTTAGGTTACAGCTCACTAGGTAGGAGAAACCTTTAGGCTGAAGTTAAAATACGCAAGGAGGGAGCTTTAGATGAAGCTTAATTTAACAAACCCTTCACAGGCCAACCACATAGCTTTCAGAACAAGGTGGAAATGATGGGCATGGCACATTTCATACTGAGATCTGCCTGCTTTCCAGGCTTCCCCTCTGCACAGCCCCTGCCTCTACCCATCTTCAACTGTGGTCTGGCAAAAGCAAACTATTTTCAATTTCCTGAATGCACTTCATTCTCTCCAGTTTCTTAGCCTTTAACCATACTATTCTCTCAGACTGGACTGATATCCCCATCTTCCCATGCCACTTCACTTTACAAACTGTTTCTTCAGGGCTTACCCTGGGATACTATATCCTTAGGAAGTCTTCCCTAGACATTCAGCACCACCACCCTTCTTTGTTCTCCTACAGCACCTTGTGCATACTTTATTAGTGCACTTATGTGATTCTGAAATGATTTGTCTCATTTCAATCAATTATGAAGTCCTAAAAGCTGTGCCTCTTCAATATCTCCAAAATCCTGCCTTCTCTTGAACCTGGTTTTCCTGCTTTCATTTCTGTCCCCCGCCCATTTCAAAATTAGCAACAGAGGGGTCTGTTTCAAATGCAAATCGAATGTCCCTTCCTTGCTTCAAACGGATCCTTTAAGGAGGGTTGAAATCAGAACCAGTAGATATTTGGAAAATGTTACTTTAACATGTGAATACGTGAATGAGGTCAAAAATGGCTTCATGGAAGTCAAATTTCTGTCAGGTCTTTTAGGATTAATAAACTATCAGTCAATGGAAAATGCTAGGGAGTACATTCTTTAAGGATTTGGAACAGGAATTCAAAGAAATTAAAGAGTGTGTAAGCAGAAACTCAGTTGTATGTAAGAAAACCCAGTTCCCCCTGAGAAAGAGAAAAAGATGAAGTCCTTTAAAAACTATACTGCCTATTTTTCTGTGGCTAGTGAGCCTTATCTCTCCTCCCTTCCCAGGCATTGTGAAGACCCTGTTTCTCTAGCTGTGCAGCTGCGAGGTCACTAGACAGATAAACTCAAGTTGCAAAACATGTTTTTCCTTGAAAAGTAAGAAATGATGTAATGACTGTCTCAATTGAATAACTGCCATTGTTTCTCACTTCTGTAGTATGCTTCCCCCTGCACAGATCTCCACCCCCCCACACACACCCCCGCCCCACAAAATGCTTAAAAAGTAAACTAACTCTTTGTTCAGGGCTTAGTCCTTTGGATGTTAATCCGACTGGGCCAGTGCACCTAAATAATTAATACATATCCTCCTGAACCCCATCAATCTCTCTGATTCCTTAACAATCCTGCTACATTTTCTTTAAGGAATCTGAGTAGGCTAGATTAGAATGGGTTGCTTAGATGGAAGAATTATGGGACATAACACTGGAAATGTTGCCCGAAGCTGCAAGGAGAATTTTGAATGCAATACTGAAGAGTTGCACCACTACAAGTGCTTTATGCAAGACAAAATTTAGTTCTGCATCTAATTTCCCTACTTAAAACTAACACAGCTTAAGAACGTTAAATAGGAAATGAATGTTTATTAGGTGGCAGGTCATATTCAGGGTCTCAAAAGACACTCTATGTCAGAGCAATGTCAGAAGAATACAGGAGAGCTGTTGGGAGGGACCTGAGGGGCCAGAGAGATATAAATTTAAGAGCTACAATTTGAATGTCTTGATGTGAAAATAACTAAGAGGGGGAGGAGCCAAGATGGCCGAATAGGAACAGCTCCGGTCTACAGCTCGCAGCGTGAGCGACACAGAAGACCAGTGATTTCTGCATTTCCAACTGAGGTACCAGGTTCATCTCACTGGGAAGTGCCACACAGTAGGTGCAGGAGAGTGGGTGCAGCACACTGTGCATGAGCCAAAGCAGGGCGAGGCATCACCTCACCCAGGAAGCGCAAGGGGTCAGGGAATTCCCTTTCCTAGTCAAAGAAAGGGCTGACAGACAGCACCTGGAAAATTGGGTCACTCCCACCCTAATAATACGCTTTTCCAACGGGCTTAAAAAACGGCACACCAGGAGATTATATCCCGCACCTGGCTCAGAGGGTCCCACGCCCACGGAGTCTCTCTCATTGCTAGCACAGCAGTCCAAGATCAAACTGCAAGGTGGCAGCAAGGCTGGAGGAGGGGCGCCCGCCATTGCCGAGTTAGTTGTTTGATTAGGTAAACAAAGCGGCCGGGAAGCTCGAACTGGGTGGAGCCCACCACAGCTCAAGGAGGCCTGCCTGCCTCTGTAGGCTCCACCTCTGGGGGCAGGGCACAGACAAATGAAAAGACTGCAGTAAACTCTGCAGACTTAAATGTCCCTCTCTGACAGCTTTGAAGAGAGTATTGGTTCTCCCAGCACGCAGCTTCAGATCTGAGAACAGGCAGACTGCCTCCTCAAGTGGGTCCCTGACCCCAGAGTAGCCTAACAGGGAGGCACCCCCCAGTAGGGGCGGACTGACACCTCACACAGCCAGGTACTCCTCTGAGACAAAACTTCCAGAGGAACGATCAGGCAGCAGCATTTGCGGTTCACCAATATCCGTTGTTCTGCAGCCACCGCTGCTGATACCCAGGCAAACAGGGTCTGGAGTGGACCTCTAGCAAACTCCAACAGACCTGCAGCTGAGGGTCCTGTCTGTTAGAAGGAAAACTAACAAACAGAAAGGTCATCCACACCAAAAACCCATCTGTACTTCACCATCATCAAAGACCAAAGGTAGATAAAACCACAAAGATGGGAAAAAAACAGAGCAGAAAAACTGGAAACTCTAAAAATCAGAGCACCTCTCCTCCTCCAAAGCAACGCAGCTCCTCACCAGCAACGGAATAAAGCTGGACGGAGAATGACTTTGACGAATTGAGAGAAGAAGGCTTCAGACGATCAAACTACACTGAACTACAGGAGGAAATTGGAACCAATGGCAAAGAAGTTAAAAGCTTTGAAAAAAAATTAGATGAATGGATAACTAGAATAACCAATGCAGAGAAGTCCTTAAAGGACCTGATGGACCTGAAAACCAAGGTACGAGAGCTACGTGATGAAAGCAGGAGCCTCAGTAGCCGATGCAATCAACTGGAAGAAAGGGTATCAGTGATGGAAGATGAAATGAATGAAATTAAATGAGAAGTTTAGAGAAGAAAGAATAAAAAGAAATGAACAAAGCCTCCAAGAAATATGGGACTATGTGAAAAGACCAAATCTATGTCTGATTGGTGTACCTGAAAATGACGGGGAGAATGCAACCAAGTTGGAAAACACTCTGCAGGATATTATCCAGGAGAACTTCCCCAATCTAGCAAGGCAGGCCAACATTCACATTCAGGAAATACAGAGAACGCCACAAAGGTACTCCTTGAGAAGAGCAACTCCAAGACACATAATTGTCAGATTCACCAAAGTTGAAATGAAGGAAAAAATGTTAAGGGCAGCCAGAGAGAAAGGTCAGGTTACCCACAAAGGGAAGCCCATCAGACTAACAGCTGATCTCTCGGCAGAAACTCTACAAACCAGAAGAGAGTGGGGGCCAATATTCAACATGCTTAAAGAAAAGAATTTTCAATCCAGAATTTCATATCCAGCCAAACTAAGCTTCATAAGTGAAGGAGAAATAAAATACTTTACAGACAAGCAAATGCTGAGAGATTTTGTCACCACCAGGCCTGCCCTAAAAGAGCTCCTGAAGGAAGCACTAAACATGGAAAGGAACAACCGGTACCAGTCACTGCAAAAACATGCCAAATTGTAAAGATGATCAAGGCTAGGAAGAAACTGCATCAACTAATGAGCAAAATCACCAGCTAACATCATAATGACAGGATCAAATTCACACATAACAATATTAACTTTAAATGTAAATGGGCTAAATGCTCCAATTAAAAGACACAGACTGGCAAATTCGATAAAGAGTCAAGACCCATCAGTGTGCTGTATTCAGGAAACCCATCTCACATGTAGAGACACACATAGGCTCAAAATAAAGGGATGGAGGAAGATCTACCAAGCAAGTGGAAAACAAAAAAAGGCAGGGGTTGCAATCCTAGTCTCAGATAAAACAGACTTTAAATCAACAAAGATCAAAAGAGACAAAGAAGGCCATTACATAATGGTAAAGGGATCAATTCAACAGGAAGAGCTAACTATCCTAAATATATATGCACCCAATACAGGAGCACCCAGATCTTAAAGCAGGTCCTTAGTGACCCACAAAGAGACTTAGACTCCCACACAATAATAATGGGAGACTTTAGCACCCCACTGTCAACATTAGATAGATCAATGAGACAGAAAGTTAAAAAGGATACCCAGGAATTGAACTCAGCTCTGCACCAAGCGGACCTAATAGACATCTACAGAAATCTCCACCCCAAATCAACAGAATATACATTTTTTTCAGCACCACACCACACCTAATCCAAAACTGACCACATAGTTGGAAGTAAAGCACTCCTCAGCAAATGTAAAAGAACAGAAATTGTAACAAACTGTCTCTCAGACCACAGTGCAATCAAACTAGAACTCAGGATTAAGAAACTCACTCAAAACCGCTCCACTACATGGAAACTGAACAACCTGTTCCTGAATGACTACTGGGTACATAATGAAATGAAGGCAGAAATAAAGATGTTCTTTGAAATCAACAAGAACAAAGACACAAAGAATCTCTGGGACACATTCAAAGCAGTGTGTAGAGGGAAATTTATAGCACTAAATGCCCACAAGAGACAGCAGGAAAGATCTAAAATTGACACCCTAACATCACAATTAGAAGACCTAGAAAAGCAAGAGCAAACACATTCAAAAGCTAGCAGAAGACGAGAAATAACTAAGATCAGAGCAGAACTGAAGGAAATAGAGACACAAAAAACCCTTCAAAAATTAATGAATCCAGGAGCTGGTTTTTTGAAAACATCAACAAAATTGATAGACCGCTACCAAGACTAATAAAGAAGAAAAGAGAGAAGAATCAAATAGATGCAATAAAAAATGATAAAGGAGATATCACCACTGATCCCACAGAAATACAAACTACCATCAGAGAATACTGTAAACACCTCTACGCAAATAAACTAGAAAATCTAGAAGAAATGCATAAATTCATCGACACATACACCCTCCCAAGACTAAACCAGGAAGAAGTTGACTCTCTGAATAGACCAATAACAGGCTCTGAAATTGAGGCAATAATCAATAGCTCACCATCCAAAAAAAGTCCAGTACCAGATGGATTCACAGCCGAATTCTACCAGAGGTACAAAGAGGAGCTGTTACCGTTCCTTCTGAAACTATTCCAATCAATTGAAAAAGAGGGAATCCTCCCTAACTCATTCTATGAGGCCAGCATCATCCTGATACCAAAGCCTGGAAGAGACACAAACAAAAAAGAGAATTTTAGACCAATATCCTTGATGAACATCGATGCAAAAATCCTCAATAAAATACTGGCAAACAGAATCCAGCAGCACATCAAAAAGCTTATCCACCATGATCAAGTGGGCTTCATCCCTGGGATGCAAGGCTGGTTCAACATACGCAAATCAATAAATGTAATCCAGCATAGAAAGAGAACCAAAGACAAAAACCACATGATTATCTCAATAGATGCAGAAAAGGCCTTTGACAAAATTCAACAACTCTTCATGCTAAAAACTTTCAATAAATTAGGTATTGATGGGATGTATCTCAAAATAATAAGAGCTATCTATGACAAACCCACAGACAATATCATACTGAATGGGCAAAAACTGGAAGCATTCCCTTTGAAAACTGGCACAAGACAGGGATGCCCTCTCTCACCACTCCTATTCAACACAGTGTTGGAAGTTCTGGCCAGGGAAATCAGGCAGGAGAAATAAATAAAGGGTATTCAATTAGGAAAAGAGGAAGTCAAATTGTCCGTTTGCAGATGACATGATTGTATATCTAGAAAACCCCATCATCTCAGGCCAAAATCTCCTCAAGCTGATAAACAACTTCAGCAAATTCTCAGGATACAAAATCAATGTGCAAAAATCACAAGCATTCTCATACACCAATAACAGACAAACAGAGAGCCAAATCATGAGTGAACTCCCATTCACAATTGCTTCAAAGAGAATAAAATACCTAGGAATCCAACTTACAAGGGATGTGAAGGACCTCTTCAAGGAGAACTACAAACCACTGCTCAATGAAATAAAAGAGGATACAAACAAATGGAAAAACATCCCATGCTCATGGGTTGGAAGAATCAATATCGTGAAAATGGCCATACTGCCCAAGGTCATTTATAGATTCAATGCCATCCCCATCAAGCTACCAATGACTTTCTTCACAGAATTGGAAAAAACTACTGTAAAGTTCATATGGAACTAAAAAAGAGCCCTCATTGCCAAGTCAATCCTAAGCCAAAAGAACAAAGCTGGAGGCATCATGCTACCTGATTTCAAACTATACTACAAGACTACAGTAACCAAAACAGCATGGTACTGGTACCAAAACAGAGATACAGACCAATGGAACAGAACAGAGCCCTCAGAAATAATGCCCCATATCTACAACCATCTGATCTTTGACAAACCTGACAAAAACAAGCAATGGGGAAAGGATTCCCTATTTAATAAATGGTGCTGGGAAAACTGGCTAGCCATATGTAGAAAGCTGAAACTGGATCCCTTCCTTACATCTTATACAAAAATTAATTCAAGATGGATTAAAGACTGAAATGTTAGACATAAAACCATAAAAACCCTAGAAGAAAACCTAGGCAATACCATTCAGGACATAGGCATGGGCAAGGACTTCATGTCTAAAACACCAAAAGCAATGGCAACAAAAGCCAAAATTGACAAATGGGATCTAATTCAACTAAAGAGCTTCTGCACAGCAAAAGAAACCACCATCAGAGTGAACACGCAACTTACAGAATGGGAGAAAATTTCTGCAACCTACTCATCTGATAAAGGGCTAATATCCAGAATCTACAATGAACTCAAACAAGTTTACAAGAAAAAATGAACAACCCCATCAAAAAGTGGGCAAAGGATATGAACAGACACTTCTCAAAAGAAGACATTTATGCAGCCAAAAAACACATGAAAAAATGCTCATCATCACTAGCCATCAGAGAAATGCAAATCAAAACCACAATGAGATACCATCTCACACCAGTTAGAATGGCGATCATTAAAAAGTCAGGAAACAACAGGTTCTGGAGAGGATGTGGAGAAATAGGAACACTTTTACACTGTTGGTGGGACTGTAAACTAGTTCAACCATTGTGGAAGTTGGTGTGGCGATTCCTCAGGGATCTAGGACTAGAAATACTATTTGACCCAGCCATCCCATTACTGGGTATATACCCAAAGGATTATAAATCATACTGCTATAAAGACACATGCACACGTATGTTTATTGCGGCACTATTCACAATAGCAAAGACTTGGAACCAACCGAAATGTCCATCAGTGATAGACTGGATTAAGAAAATGTGGCACATATACACCACGGAATACTATGCAGCCATAAAAAAGGATGAGTTAATGTCCTTTGTAGGGACATGGATGAAACTGGAAACCATCATTCTCAGCAAACTATCTCAAGGACAAAAAACCAAACACTGCATGTTCTCACTCACAGATGGGAATTGAACAATGAGAACACATGGACACAGGAAGGGGAACATCACACACTGGGGACTGTTGTGGGGTGGGGGGAGGGGGGAGGGATAGCATTAGGAGATATACCTAATGCTAAATGATGAGTTAATGGGTGTAGCACACCAACATGGCACATGTATACATATGTAACAAACCTGCATGTTGTACACATGCACCCTAAAACTTAAAGTATAATAATAATAAAATTTAAAAAAAAAAGAAAATAACTAAGACATATACTGACCTAGAAAAAAAAATTTAAAGAAAATCATTACTTACTGTAGTATTTGACCAAAGCCAGTATTTGTTTAAATACTAATACTTAAATATATATTAATCCTATTTTATTTTTTGAAAAACTTTAGTTAAAACAAATTTAATAGAGTTTATGTGAGCAAAGGACAATTCCCAAATCAAAGCAGCCCTCAAGAATCAGAAGGGTTCATACAACTCCACTTGGCAACCTGGCAGTATTTCAGACAGAAAAAGGCTGAAGAAAACAAAGAAGGAACAAAAAGCAGATAGGTTGTTTCAAAGTTACTTTCCTTGTAAAGGTTAAACCAGAGGGGACTTCCTTATTATGCTGCTAAAACTGGACTGTTTGGGAATTGGGCTATTATTGCTCTCTCTTGGAAGGTCAGATAAACAATTTAGTTTTTGCTTGGTGGTATGGAACTTTAGCATTAGTGACTCCATTTTGGTTTGGTCTGTTGGGGCCTAGTCCAGAAACTCAGTCCAAAGCAATGGCTTCCCATTATTTTATTTAACACATTGTAGGGGATGAAAAGTATCTTTTCCTCATCCATCCCTAAGTTCACAGCAGAAGGCCCTATAACAAAACACAGATTAACAAGAGAAGAGTAAATACATTATTTAATATGTTTTTTGTGACACAGGGGCCTTCAGAAATTAAGACAAAAAGAAATAGGTAAACTTGTGTATTTTTACACTTAGGTTAATGAAGAGGTAGATAGTCGTAGAGAGGTATGATTAGACAAAGAGAGTGTGATCTAACGGTAATAAACAGGGGAATTTGGCAAGGTCTGTTTGTTCACATTCTTCCCTGTGTCCCTCTCTTCAGAGAGGCGGGCGGATCACGAGGTCAGGAGTTCGAGACCATCCTGGCTAACATGGTGAAACCCCGTCTCTACTAAAAATACAAAAAAAAAAAAATTAGCCAGGCGTGGTGGCGGGCACCTGTAATCCCAGCTACTGGGGAGGCTGAGGCAGGAGAATGGCATGAACCCGGGAGGCGGAGCTTGCAGTGAGCCAAGATCGTGCCACTGCACTCCAGCCTGGGCAACAGAGCTAGACTATGTCTCAAAAAAAAAAAAAAAAAAAAAAGAATGTTCCTTCCCTCCAGGTATAGGAAGGATGCCTCTTGAATGAAGATATTTTCTCAAAGGAGAAGGGTTGGGGAAGGTTGAGCATGGCATCTACTTCCTCTGTTTTCTCAAATTCCAAGCCTCCATATTTTGAGATGGCATGTTCTGAAGCCCATGGCTATTCCAAAATAATCCATTCTCATGACAACAATCTAATTGGTGAGAATAGGCAACAACTACAATAAAATTAGAAAAAAGGGTGCCATAATTTTAAAAGAAAAAATGCTACAAAAATTATTTGTCCCCATCGAGAAAGCAATAGGTTGTTTAAGACTGTGCTCTGGTGTGTAGAAGCTTGGTTATCAAATTCAAGTGCTCAGAGGAAGATGTTTTATTCTCTGTTTATAAAAAATAAATAGTTCTGCATTAGGAAAAGTTTCTGCTTAATGATATGAATCATCTTTAACTAGCTAAGAGTGAAACCGTTGATTTTTGACTTGTTAATCTGCTTGAAGACTGGGAAAGGGTGAATTACTGTAGTTTCAGTTATTATTATAACTATTATTTTTGTTTTCTGATGAAGTTTCGCTCTTGTCCCCCAGGCTGGAATGCAATGGCGCAATCTCGGCTCACTGCAACCTCTGCCTCCCAGATTCAAACAATTTTCCTGCCTCACCCTCCCAAGTAGCTGGGATTACCAGCATGCGCCACCACGCCCAGCTAATTTTTGTATTTTTAGTAGAGACAGGGTTTCACCATGTTGGCTAGGCTGGACTTGAACTCCTGACTTCAAGCGATCCACTCACCTTGGCCTCCCAAAGTGCTAGGATTACAGGTGTGAGCCACCGCACCTAGCCTTCTGTTACTATTTTTAAGGCTTTAAAAAAAAATAGATTGATAATAGAAACACCTGGATTAAATTCCTTGACCTGCAATGATTGTAGAGCTTTATGTTGCCCCATTTTATCAGTCAACAAATTTGTCTTAACATTAAAAAAAAAATCTTGACATTAATGAGATACATATTTTGCAAACTTAAAGTTACGTAAGTATTTCTCAGAAACAGTTATTATCATGATTCAGAATGTCAGTTTTGATAATATTATAGGATATTTTATGACATCTTAAAGTAACATTTAAAAGTAGGTGAAACGGACTCATGGTGGATTGAATATGGTTATCTCCCTCCCTCCATTAACCTGGCATTTACTGAAATGGCAACACTTTTAGGAGTAACACAGAAGGGTAATCTCTCCTGGTTACATGCCATTTAAGAAATACTGGTGATAGCAATGATTTAAACTTAATGTTAGAAATTGAGCTGAATGAAAAAACATAATGTGTTTTTAGACTGCAAATGGCATGTATTAGTAGACTCCAAATAGTGAGATTCTAAAAAGTATACTAGTCTGGGAGAGGACTAGACTTTTCTAGACTAGAACTAAATTATTTTGAAACTAGTATTTTAATTAAAAAAAAAAAGAAAGAAAAGGGAGAGAGGAAAAAGAGAGAGAGAAATAGAGAGAGGGAGAGAAAGAGACAAAGGAAGGAAGGAAGGAAGAAAGAGAGGGAGGGAGGGAAGAAGGAAGGAAGGAGAGATATGGAAGGAGAAGAGAGAAAATTAAATAGAACAAACAATACTTGGTGCCAAATTCAGTGGACATTTTTCCATGAGAATAAAAACAATCATAAAACTATAAACATGAATAATACATAGGAACATAAATTTTGTGGCTGCTGTCAAAATGATAATGCTGCTCCTATTTTTAGAAATATTTTTACTGTATACATTCAGTTAATTTTATCCAGCTGTCAGTATGCATTCTGGAAGTTGCCAGAAAGTGAATGAATGTGAACATTTAAAAGAATGAATAAAATAATCTTAACATGTCTGTGAGTGTAAAGAAGAGCTCGTGCACCAAATGGCTTCACTGTCTACTTTTTGGCACAGGTATCAAGGTGGTACATGTAGGATATGCTCTTGGAATTGTTTTTCCAACAGAAATTTTAGATTTGTAATGAATATTTTCAATCTTAAAGGGTCTTTCTCATGGCCAATAGTAGCATCCTTTTCTGAGATGGCTGGTGGGGACCACAGAACCAGTCTGCTGTCTGATAAACTAATCCAGACAAGCTCAGATAAGGATTTGGCTCTTGAGCTCACACTCAAAAGTTCCCCAATACAATGACAAGCATTCTTAATTCCTCCATTACAATTTTTTTTAATGGTGTGGTTAGGTTGTCTGGGTACCCATCAGCATATGGCCTTTGCACTGACCACTGGTAAACAGAGGACTGTGTGGCCATGCAATGATCACAGGCTTTGGGATCGAGGGATGTGGGGTCAGGTCCCATCCTGGCTACCCACTAGCTATGTTATATAACTTCTGGCAATTTTCCCATCTGAAAATGGGTCTAATAATGTCTACTTCACAGGGATAGCTTACCTCTTCACAATTATGTAAGCAAAGAATTTAGCACTGTGCCAAACACAGAATACAGTCACCAGGGCCGACAGCAGTCACTTTTGGCAGCTCTAACATGTTGCTGCTCAGATTTTCATGTACTGGTTGTTTTTTTTTTAAATGAAGCCAAAAATTATAGGAACTTTACCTAACACCCAATGATATCTGAATGCCTTCTTCCCACAAAAGTTATGGTTATTCCAAAATTAGAATGTTAATAATAAATCAAAAACAGTGGGTCTTAACCAAGAAAGACAGCCAAGTGTTTTGAAGCCAGACAAATCGGTTTCTAATCTTAACTTCCTACGTACTAGGCACATGGCCTTGGGTGAGTAATTCATGTCTTTCAATTTTCTCATATGTAAAATGGGCAACAGTACTTACTTCATGGTGTTGTCATCTAGATGAAATGAAACAACGTGTATGAATTCTGGCTGTGCCATTTACCAGCTGTGTGATCTTGGGCAAGTTTCTAAATCTCTGGGTGCTGCAGTTTGCTCATAGGTCAGGTGGATTTCACAGTCATCCTAACGCAGAGGTTGTTAGGAGGATTACATGGGTTAGCTCAGAGAATGCACCTAAAACAATGACTGGCACATGGTAAGTACTCAATAAATGTTATAACGCTACTCATTTTTCATTGTCACTTCTTCTTCATTGGTTTTATTGTTAATAGCCAGAAATTAGGTTGATGAGATAACAATGGCGTAGAGTTGAAAAAATTGCTTTAACACTTTAGAGCATAACACGCCAAGAGGATTAACCTACTGGAAGTGGTATGCTGCCCACTGCTCTCTTGGATTTAATATTACATGGACTCTCAATGGAAAGCAAAGAGGAGTTGAGGTGGGGCAGAGGAGAAGTAGTTGCTCTGGAAACACTGATGGAAGTGAGAGGGCCACTCAGCTGTGGTGAGCCACCTCTGAGCCACTGAAACTGGCCCAGTGTCATCTTTCATAGTTGTCTTCACCTTGCATTTCACAGTTCACAAAACACTTCATATCCACCATCACACACTTACTCTCCCCATGCTACCCCTTGCAGTAGGTGGATATGCTGAGTGGCCAATCCCCATACTGCATACCCCACTCCACTCAGGTTTCTTTTTTGCTTGGTTTTCTCTCTAGTGATGGAGGTCTCCCCTCATATCAGGAATTAATTAAAAAAAAAAGTTGCCATGGAAGTTGCTGAAAGTTTCCAAGTATCGACAGGAGAATAGTTAATTGGCCTGTCAGACTACACAACCTCCTCAGAGGTCATCTCTGGCTGAGTAAACACTGCATCTCTGCCATTTACTCACTAAAGCAGTCAAAATTCCTCTTGACAGAACTGGATTCCAAAACAACAACAACAAAAAAAACCTGCTCCAAAGGTAAGAGACAGCTTATTAAATTTGTGTCAAGCCTACTGCCTGATACCTTTTAAGCCCAGTCTGATTTCTTTCAGGCCCTTGACACGTGCTAATTGGCATTACTCTGTTAGCAGATGCTGAGAGGAGACAGGCATCCAGGCTTCCTGCTTCTCTGTACTCAGCATGACATCCTCTCATAAATACCAAATGGGATGCCTTAAACGACTGGGAAATACATGCTAAATGGGTACTTAGATGTATTTAGACAGCTTATTTATCACTGAATATGGCAAAACTCTTTGTGTGCTCTTTTGGGGAGGTAAAGAATGTCACAAGCGATGGAGCAAAGTAGAAAATGTGCCACATGGAAATCAACCATATTGTAAACAGTACATGCCTATTATGGCCTTTCCACACCTTACAGTTTATTACTATGGGAGCTCTTACAGCTCCTTCCTGGGCTTTCATTCTTTTGACAAATATTTATCATTGCTGGGCTAGGTTCTGTTCTGGGCACTGGGAATACACCACCAAACAAAACAGATAAAAAATGCCTGTCCTCGTGGAACTTATATAGTAATAAAAGATGTAGGATGTCGCATGGAGATGAATGTGATGGAGATGGGATGGGGTGGGGTGGGGTGGGGTGGGGTGGGATGGGGTGGGCTTGGGACAGAGTTGGGGAATCGACTTTAATTAACCTGGTCAGAGGCCAGGCTGAGCAAAGACCTGAAGGAGGCCAAGCCAGTCAGGCCGGAATAGGAGGAGTGTTTTAGAGGAGGGGCAGAAGCCTGAGGGGCAGCCAGCTTGGTGCACAGAGACTGGCAGATGAGAGCACAGGGAGTGTGGGACAGCGTGGTGGGAAATGCGGCTAGAGAACTGGCTGGAGGTGGATACAAGCCGACCTTTGTAAGGGCTCAACCACCACTGCACTTTAGAATCCCCTGTGGAGCTTTTAAACCAAGTGAATCAGAATCTCCTGCGGTGAAGCCCAGGCCTGGGGATGTTTTTGAAATCTCCACATGTGCCTCCAGTGAGTAGTCAGAGGAAGGACATGAGCTGCCTTCTGCTCAGAGGGATCCTGAGCTTTAAGAACAGACCCCAGGAGGGGACGGGTGGATGCAGGGAGGCCAGTCAGGTGCTGCAATCATCCAGGGAGGGAGCTGGTGACTGGGATGTGGGATCAAGTGGTGGTGGTGAGAAGAGCTCAGACTCCAGGTATATTTTGAAGGCAGAGCCAAGAGAATGTTCCTGCAGATCAGGCATAGGGAGTAAAAGCAGAAGGTAGTCAAAGATGACACCAAGGTTTTGGGGCTGAGCAATTGGAAGAATGGAATTGCCATTTGACTGAAATGAGAAAAGTCATGGGAAGAACCTAGAAGGCATTTTTACATCATATACGAACACTTTGCATGGAAATGCCCATAGATAGTAAAATGCTCAGTACCTGGCACGTAAAGGATTCACTAATGCTTTTAAAAGACAGTATGTGTGGTGAGGCTGAAGGGCAAGTATCTACAGCTGAGTATCTTTAAGGTGGTTTGGTAGCAAATAATAAACAAGTGTTCCAAGCATTTTTCCAGAGATACGTAGAGGAGATGAAGATGTAGCCAGGAAAACTCCCTATAAATGTCTCTGCCTCCATCTAAATCTTTAGATAATGTGGGAAGAGGCTTCATTGCCTGGCAGAAATTCTGGCAACTGCCCCTACATTCAAGGAAAAGTATGAGATATACTTAATACTGGTAGATGACACTCCCATCTCCCCCAGTGTGTGGTACTTAAAGCTGAATACCCTGAGTGACAAATAGCAGGGGAGTTAGCCAGTCACCTTGCCACTATATGTAGAAAATACCTACAGAGCAGTGCCTTCTCTAGTTCTTTAGGAAAACCTCAGCCCTTTTACGGGGCTGTATATAATTTCATTTTCAACAACCCTGCCAAATTCCTAACATGCTTAATATTGACCAATTAAACAAGAAAAAATGTAATAATACATTTGTCATTCAAATCACTATGTACTATAGCTAATTAAGGTCCTTATTACAAATTATATACAATAGTCAATTATATGCTTTTTCAATTGAATCCTTACATGAGTAAGATTTATTAACACAAATAGCTCCTGACAAACTTGGCCCAGGAACAAGCACTGTATTTCCTCTGGGTTTTGGAAAAAAGTCAAAGTTATTATAAACGGTTGCTTAGGGGAGATATTTGCTATTTTCTCCACTGATTTGAAGTAGGTCAGATTGAGAGCTGAATGCTTCCCTAAGGTTATAATTAAGTATGAATATTAAAAAGCTGAGAACAAATAAAAAAAATACAACTGCTTTAAGCTTTCACATCACAGACCTTGCATTGTGTTTTCACCTCAGGCAAGATACTTTCTCTGGGAAAAGGAATACGGTTGAAAAAATAGGCTTTAAAAAAACTGCAATAGCTCTACAAGCCTAGACTTTGAGAAAGATTTGTGCAAACAAAAGTGCTTTGAAGAAGTATTTAACCAGGTAGAGTTGGGGCAAAAATGCACACAAATGCTGAAAAAGCAGCCTGAACTATTGTGATTTAATTCTGCAGGACAGTCTGATGTTTATCCCCCCGCCCCCTTGAAAATCACATCTTTCTGCCTCTTCCCATCCAAATCATTCACTCTTATAAAACTAGCTTAGTCAGATCAATATCTGAGCTAGCAATGTAAATTTAATCATGGTGAGGCCTGGGTAAACATTAGCTCTAAGACATTTCTTGGTCTATAGAGTGATAACTGAATTAAGTAGGATTATTTCATCATTACAGTATTAAGCCCACAATGTTACACAAGAGAAGCTAATATTTCTAACTCTTTTCAGCTTAGCAAAATATGCTATAAGCATTTACATGAGCCAATTTAGTATGTTTCCTCCTTGAAGAGCTATGAAATAGGAATACATGGCAGCTAAATTTTCAGTGTAGAGAGAGGAATGTCTAGTAATCAAACTATCGAAGGGCCTCATTATAAGACCGTTCCTGGGATGCTGGCACTCTGGCCTCCTGACAGCCACTTTAGTTGAATTCCCATGGACCTGGGAATTCACAGTCTTGCCTTCCATCTCCTGCATTTTCAGCTGTGCAGATTCTCTAAACATAGTCTTCCTTGAAGCCCCCACTTGGGCATTATTTCTTCCAGGAATCTTTCCCTGACTTCCCTGTCTTTGGGCATTTCTGTATCATGGCACTGGCCTCATGATAAAACTATATTTCTGCCTCTCTTTGAAACCTGGGAGCAGCTTGATCATCATTGATGTCTGGGTCAAGCACAAGGACTGGCATATATTAGGTATTCAATACTATTTATGGAATGCATGAATGAATGAACGAATGAATAGAATTAAAAAGCTAAGACATGGAAACATATCCCATGTGCTAGGTACTGGATAAAGAGATAGAAGGCATATCCTCTAGAAGTTGAAGATCTGGGTCAGGAAGGGGGGAATATAAAGAGAGGCAGAAGAATATAAGCCGGCATTTCTTAAGGACCAAAGCAGTGAGCTGCTAGGACTAAGGCAGCCGCAGCATGGAAAGACAGAGTAGAATCCTGGAAACAGCCAGCACACTGAAGGAAAGGTAGCCTCAAGCCAGACAAAAGGAGGCAGGAGGGCAAAGGGGACATGATGAGCAACGCCCTCTTATGGAGCTGAGAAGAATTACAGTTTAATTTATTAGATGACAGACATTGAAAGACTGGGTTCTGAATCCAGACAACTGGGTTTAAATCCTGACTCCTTTACTACATGCTCTCTGGGCAAATCACGTAATATTCCTAAGCCTCAGTATCTCCATCTGTCAAATGGACACGAAAATAATATCCCCCTCACAGATATGAGATAAAATATATAAAGCCATTAGCAAGGAGCTTACATATAAGAAATGTTATTATTGTTTTTATTCACATTCTGTATGGCATGGCTAGGACACACACATTTAAAAGGCTTCAGCCTAACTGTATGGAGGTGAGGGCTGTGCATATAGATAGAGGACCAGTGCAAAATTTTAAGGTCCCTGACTCCTCTAGATTTGATTAAGAATGATAATGTATAACCCTAAAACATCAGCTAGCTGCAGGTCAAGATCCTAGCTAAGGTAATATTTGCGGCATTTGTGGGATGGTTATGTAGTATTTAAACCTGTACCACATTGGCCTAGTTGGTTAAAACAAGATCTCTGAGTATATTCCCTTCTCACCTCCTACTGGCCATTATAGTTACAAATAGATTACCTCATTTCTTTTGAATGGGTTTATTTGTTTGCTCTCTCAGTTGTACTGTAATCTCCTTTAAGAGGAGAAAGTGGTTATTATACATCATTTATGGCTGTGTCTAGCAATGCCCAATAATCTTCTTTGGGTTACTACTAGCCATTCATCACCAAAGTGATCACCCTCAATCCTAGATTCTTGACTCCATGACTCTAAGATCCTGTGGACACTACAAAAATTTTCTACAAATACATTTGACACTCTGCTAACCTCATAGGGAAGTTTAATCAAGTAAGCTAGTGAGACTACCCTGTTAAATAATTTTAAAATTATCTTGAGAAATCTATTTTTAAAATTAGTTGGAAGAATCTCCCATGGGGTCTGACTTGTCTCTGCCACTTTCCTAGAAATTTAAAACAAATTCTCTGATATTCCCTCAAATAGAATGTTTACCCATACATTTGGGTCATTTTTTAATTTAAAAATATTGAATGTAATCACTTATTCATTTCAATATTTTGATATATAGTTTATAACGATAAAGCAGATATTTATTTTGCATATTAGGCAATTTCATGTGTGAAGTGCAACTGGACTAAAAAGAGCCAATAGACTGGAGCCAATAGTTTATAAACCTCTTATCTTCTTAGGTAGATTTCAAATTTTGCTACTTAGTAACACATTGTATTTTATAGGGAAAAAAACATGTTCACCTTTATTATGATTTATAATCCCCTGACCTTCCATTTCTGTTCTCCCCAGACTTGCTGCGAGCATTAGTTCATTCAACTCTTACATTTATAGAGAGCTTGCTTCTCACTCATGCTTTACAAAGTCATTCTATTGGTTAAACGTCTATGCGAGTACTGTGGAGAGATATTTTTTAAAATAATTATCATGATAAAAACAGCTTATTAACTCGGTCACCTGGGAAAATGATTTATCCTTTCCCATCTTTTGCTTTTTACCATCTGTAACAGAGTAATATTTCCTGTCATTTAAGGCTGCTATAACAAGGAATGATAATAAATAAAAACTATCTCACACAGTGTCCCTGGTATTTAGTAGGTGCTTAATAAGTTAAAACCAGTATAAATGCCATATGCACATTTTACAATTGACAAAGTATCTATTTTTATATACTCTGGTCCTTATTGTAAAAGAGCTTCCTTCCCTGGCATCTATCCACAAGCAACAATGGCCGCTTAAGCAGTCCTCTAAATTATTCAAGAGATAGTTATAAGACTTTTTAGTTCTACTTTTTATATATTACCATCCAATATTACTTGCAAGGGCAAATTAATCATCATCTTTCCACACTAACTTTCATATTATAATAAATCATGAATCAGGGGGCTGGCTCTTGGGCAGGGATGAATGAGAGAACCATGAAAAAAATCTTGTGCTTTCTTTAAAAACTATTCTTCTAATATATTGGAGAAGCAAAGAGTTTGCTTCTCCGTAGACGAAATCTGCACTCAAACATCCTTGGAATATGTCCTCACTTTATTATAATCTAATCAAATTTGAAAGCTCCAAAGCTCATTGCTAGGAACCCAATCTGTTGTAGCTGCTTCAAACTAGAAATAGTTTTAACAAATGAAAGAATCAGGGATATAGTCATCTCAAAGTAATTATTCCATGTTCCCCAGTTTAGAAAAATATAAGTCATAAGTTACAGCCAATTTACTCTATGTTTCATTTAGTGTCCGTGAATCAAACTCTTCTGTTTTTCTAATATATGAGAATATTTTTAGAGGGCTAAAATTCTTCTTTTTATTAATAAATGTATTAGCAAGTAAAAGGAATGTATTTTGACATAGCCTCAAATACACAATTTGCTATGGTCCCATTTCAGGATGTGTTTCATCAAAATAGGTAGAATCAGAATAGGTAGAATCAGAATGGCACAGTAAATTTAAAAAAAAAAAAAAGTTGGGCAGGCCTTACCCCAAACATCTTGAATAGGAATCTCTGGTTGAGAAGTGTGCAGGGGGTAGCTGCTGGAAACCCTTGCTTGTTTAGCTTTCCCCTACGAGTCTATTGAGAAACCTAGTTTTGAACCTACTGCTAGATCATTTGGTAAACTAGATGACACTGGAAGGTGACACCAAGCTAGCAGCAGTTATGGCAAAGGAAAAGCAATGATGCTGTAGGATGCTTAGGCTGTATCCTGTTTTAATAGTGCTTCGCCAGAGGATCCCAAATCAAATATCTTTTCAGAATTTGAACTGGTAATGTCTCTTCCTGTTCCTCTGATGTTTCCACCCCCCTAAGTTTAATCTACGTCCCTTGTGATTGTTAGGAAAATGTTTATTTTAAAATATAAAAAACATTTTTCCGTGCAAATAATTCAAGCAATTAAAGCTAAAAAATGAATATATTTTAGTGTCTCTAGACTGAACAGTGAGGACTAATGCAGAAGTTAATTATAAATAAGAAAATCTTTTAGGTCCTTCTTTCAGATTCTAGATCTTGAAAGTGTCTTTAAAATTTTAACTCACAACTATAGAATATATTATCATATGTATATAGGGAATAGTGGACCCAGTATCTTTATTATAATAAAAAATACTCTAAGCCTTGGAAAATTTCACTTTTATGAACTTTGATTGATTTCTCCAGTGAGTTTCCACTTCTCGCAACTATATAATAAAAAATACTAAGTGGCTTAAAAAAAATCAGTTACATAGATTATTACTTGGAAAGAAAATTATATAAAAGGTCTCAGTGAGATAAATTTTAAAAGGGTAAGTTACTTTTGTTCTTATATTTAAAATATATGTGATCAGGCTCCTATAAAAAAATTGGTACATCCAAGAACTTAAAATTCTACATCATAACATTCAGTTTCATACTTTTTTGATCAACAGCCCTTCCTACTTTTGCTCAAAACACAGCTTTGCTTTTCAGTATTTGGGATTTTCTTTCTGCTTTTGTTTGTTTGTTTGTTTTGGTTATAAGTATCTTAGTTTCTATCTCAGCTCATCCTATCCTTTTGCCAGAAAGCCATTCCTTACTCCTAGCACTGTCCATATTTCCCTGGCAAATGCAACACTTACTTTCATAGGATCAAGGATTTGAGGAATGGAAGAACCTTAGCGGTCCCTTCCGAAAAAGATTTAATTTAGGAATCCTCTCTCCAACTTCCTTGTCAGAGGATGGTCCTAGCTCTATTAAACATTCCCGGAATATCACATTGCTGGAGAGCTTTCATGGATCAAGAGGTTTCCCTTGTGTCCAGACTAGCTGTATGATCCTAAACAAATCACAGCATCTCTTGAGTCTGCGTTTCTATAAAGCAAGAAGAGGTGATGATTTCCAAGGTCATACAAGTCACAGAATTCTTCCTAATTATTTTAATGGCAGTAAGCAGAATAAAATGCTTGCTTGTAACATCTTTGGCTCTGAAGGATATTGTCCAAAGGGTGAGGTTGGTGTTTAAGGGGCAGGGACAGTAATTTTTAACACCATCCAATAGGGACTTTTCAATGCTACCGAGCAGCGGATCTACATACTGTTCCCTAAAAGGACACCTCCTGGCTACTTGTTCCTTAACTTCCCGCTGCCCAGTCTGCCACTGAAAGCCCCACATGGCACTTAGGGAGCTCTCACCATGCATCCCTGATTATCGTTATTACTATTACTATTCTGATTTGTTCACAGAAAACCATTACTACCAGTCAGTGGTTGATCTTCTATCCTTATCTACTTATCTGCAATATTTTTCACTGTTGCCCACTCCCATTCTTTAAAAATTATCTTCTTTCTTAGCCCCAGGACAATCAATCTTTGATTCTCCTTTGCAATGTTTTGATCACTTTTTTATGCCCATCCCTTAAAAAGGAGTCATTTCTTTGGACCTCCAATCTTCACCAGGGAGAATGCTAAACCCCAGCTCTCCTTCTTTCCCTGCCACTGTTTGACCTTACACAGGTCGTATTCTCTCTGGGCCTCATTTGTCCCTGAGAAAAGAGAAGGAGCTGGAGTGATGATGTGGAACATCTCTTCAAGCTGTACACTGCTATGCTAGTCATCTTAATCCCATTCCTGTATTCCTTCAGTATGTGGTAGAGTTTCAGAAAGCAAGTATAGGTCTGTGATGATGCTAATACCACCAAGAAATCATTCATTCCAGTATGGGGAGAAACCTTAAACACCATCTGGTCTGAAACCTTTGTTTTACAGATGAGGGAACCTAGGTTCAGAGAGGGTACTTGATTGCCTCAAAGCAGAGACAGGATAATAAGGAGGTCTCCTGGGCTCTCACTTGTTGCAAAATAAATTTGAGTGTTTTCTGGATCTGGCTAAAGTGCACAATGATATCAGAGTAAAACGTCATACGGAAGGTATAAATTGATCTAGAACACATTAAAGCCTTCCCCTCCCCCTTTAAAAAAATCAACTTTAAGAATTTTGGAGAGAGATTTGCTATCAGTGGTGCTTTATACAAAATAGCATAATCTGATAACATAAGACATTTTAGATTTATGTTTTTAAATAGCCAAATAAAACAAAATATCAAGTCACAGATTACATATATTTACATTAATTCAAATGTCCAAAGCACAGTACAGTAGGGTCTATTTAATAGTTCACATAATTTAAGATTTACATATACACAAGCACATGAACCAATATTAGTTTGCTAGAACAGGGATTTAAGAAGTTACTCAGACATTTTGGTATTGACACTTACATATTTATGGCAACAAATTATGATGACTTTAAATTTTCAATGAGATCTTTTGTACAAGAATACAGAATGGGAAGAATGTACAAAATGAAAAGACAGGCAAACAAATGTACTTTCCTTGCACTATTTCTATAACACCATATAGGATGTGGCATTATCCAGTACATTTTATCAGTGTAGTCTATTCATTCTGGTCTAAAACGGTAATTTTGGCTGAATAACCCCCAAATCTAACTTTGCTTTAGGCTTTATAATTAATTGATGCTTGATTCTTCTTTCTACATCTTTTAAAAATGAAATTGGACACTAGTGTTTTTCTTTAAAATAACTCTGGTACTAGTAAGTTAGCAAAGTCTATTTTTAAAGGACACTAATACATAAAGTTTATTTTTTCTTTCAATATCCTAAATAAAGGGACAATGGGAGTCATATCACCTTTGGGCCTACTCTGAAATTACCAATAGTGCTAAAAGCTAAGATATTGTGATCTAGAACTTAAACTTTGGAAAACAACCCCATCTTTCTATGGCACATTGAGGAACTGAAGTACTTTACCTCATTTCCTACCAATCATTTTAAGAGAATTTGGTTGTATTTCAAAGAACAAAACAACACAATTTCTGTCCTGCTGTTTATTTTGCAGACCACACACAAAGTTAAATATGAACAGATTAAATTATGACATCATACAAATATAGGCACAAATTAAGTGGACGCCACAAAAGGTGTGTCAGAAAACACTGAATTGACTGAATCTGAGTCAGATTTCCCCCTCGTGGACTTTAGGATGCCCTCAGCTATCACTGCCTCGCTGGGAAAGAGCCTGACTTTCCCGTTCTGCCCTGCTGCAGTATCCTTCAGGGGTTCCAAAAACACCACTCTTTTACCTGCACCTGCCTTCCGTTCATCAGCGGAGGCATCACTAGCGGGGCCAGGACTGAGAATCGATGAATGGGCATTGCTTTGGTGTAGCATATTTTTCTGTCTCTTGGTTTTACACTTGCAGGGGCATGGAGTCAGATAGAGGTACAAAAGTACCAAAACGATACTGGCCACGCAAGCAGCAAGAGTGGTAAAAGCTGTGTTAAATGCCTCATGAGCATGGGATCTGCTTACAGTGAAATTGCTCACATTTATTGTGACGTCCACAGTTTCATTTAACAGGCGTTGCTTATTCATTGCGATACAAGAATACACTCCAGCATCCTCAAAACGAGGGCTTTCTATAACCAGACTTCCATTGTGAAACACGTAAAAGTTTTCCATCTCTTTATCCGGCTCTAGCAGTCTGTTATCTGGACCCACCCAGATGAAATCCGTATTTGCATTACCTGTCTTGCTGTCACAGTGGACCATCAGTCTTTCCCCGACCTGAGCCTCATGAATAAAGCCAAGCGCACGAAAGGAACCATTGATGATGCTGTCAGAGCAATTCATAAAGCTATCCTGGAGCAGAAGTACCTGACGCGAGTGCCTGGAGTCAGACCACAGGCGACAGGTGTAATCGTTCTTAAAATCCATCACTGAGCTAAAGTGCCTACGATACCAAAAGACCAGCAAGGAGTACAGGGAACAGTCACAGACAAATGGGTTTCCATGAAGGTAGATGCCTCTCAGCTGTTTTCCTGGCACTAAATTTATGTGGTGCATTGGCATGGAAGGAATTCGGTTATAAGAAACATCTAAAAACATCAGTTCTGCCAGCTTGAACCTTCCAACATACAAATCCATCGGAAACTGTGTGAGAAAATTTCCACTTAAGTAGAGTTTCTGCAACTGGGAGAGCCCTCCAAACGCTGAAGGATCGAGATAGGATATGTGATTGTTGTAAAGCAGAAGCACTTCCAGAACCTTCAACTCTTGGAATACAGCATTTTTCACCGTCTTCAGCTTATTGGACGATAAGTCAAGACACTTCAAATTTGGAGTTGTGGAAAAACTGCCCGTGGAAATGCTGGTGATGTTGTTATGACGAAGAATTAGGGTGTTCAGCTTTGCAAACGATACTGGAATCCACTCAGAATCCAGAAGCCCAATTCTGTTATAACTCAGGTCCAGTCTCTTAATCAGTCTGAAAAGGTTCCCAGGCACCTTGGACAGGTTTTTGTTGGTGCAGCTGACGATGTCAGTGGCACAGATGCAAGCGGTGGGGCACACCCCAGAGGCACCAGGGCCCACAGTCACTGTGATCATCAGCAAACACAGCAGCTCCCTGCAGCCCGGTCTGACGACGGCTCCAAGCAGGGTGGGCAGAGTGTGTACACGTAACGACATTATGGTCGCCTCTGAGTCTCTTCCCGGTGTCTTTTCCACCGGCTCAGCCTCCCACCAGTGAACCTGGCAAACAATTAATAATTCAGAGGGAGTAAAAAGCAGAAACTGACTACCACTAGTTAACCCATAAGAGCCATACCTTACTTTCTTTCCAATAACTTTTGAAATGGGTTTTATTTCACAATAGGGAGCTCTGTGTTGCCTCTTCACTGTTAAATGTATTTTTTCCTCTTTCCTGGGTTAGTCCTGCTTATAAAAATGTACAGTCACATTCTCTCCATACAACCCACCGTCTCACCCACCATCAGAAACTCAATTTTTTCCTAAGGTGCATCCTGCGTTGTTGTTGTTGTTGTTGTTGTTTTAAACTCCCTCCAACAGACACAACTATACGCAAACGTACGCTACAAACAATTAAACGGAAATACTTAGCAACCACCCATCCAGGAAAAAACTCACGGTGCTGGGGAGCCTCGTGGGCTCCGGGGAGGCTGCCTACGCAGTGCCTTCCGAAGGTCTGCGCGTCCGTCTGTCCGTGTCTGTCACTCTTGCACCTTCCGACTTCCTTTCCCTCCGGCTCCCGGCGGGCGGCACCCTCTAGCCGGCTCTCAACTTTGAGGAGTTTCAAGCAGCCGCGGCGGCAGCAGCAGCCCTGGACGCAGCAGCCAAGCTCTTCGCTGGCTCCCGGGGGCTCTCCCGGGTTCCTCTCATTGCAGGCTGAAGGTACCGCCTCGGCGCTCTGGCCGCCGTGTGCCCGCGCGCGGGGCGCCCCGCTCCCAGAGCCGGGGCCGCGGGAGGGGGCGCAGGCAGCCGGGCGGCAGCGGGCGGCCCCGCCTCTCCGCACTCGGGAGGCTGCAGGACCCGGGGTTCCCGCGCGCCCGGGGCCGGGAGACGGGCTGGGGCGCCGGTCCCACCCCTGCGCGTCCTGCCTCCTGCGGGCAGCAGCTCGGAGCCTGCGGGAGGGAGCAGGCTGGGCGCGTGGTGGGGGGCGCGCGATGCGGAGGGGGCGGCGGCGCAGCCAATCCGAGAGGCGGCCGGCGCCCCCTCATACCGCCCCGCGGCCTCGCCGCCTCCTCCCGCTTTCCTCCTCCAGCTCCCACCCGGACCTCTAGAACGGCCGCGCAGAGCGGGGAGGGGGCAGGGGTCCACACCAGAGGCCCAGACTCTGGTCCTTGAGTCAAGATGCCCAACCCACTCGCCTACCAATTACGTCCCTTCGTCCAGCTCCAAGCCGGGCGGTAATGGGGTCCAGGAAGGCTAAAGGGGACACGCCCAGCCACCGAGGGAGGGGTCTCACCCTTGGAGACCCACTTCGCGGCGGCCGCACAGGTCACGTCTCTCTCCCCACCCAGGCCAAGGAATCCCCGGACCTCTTAGAGCTTTGCTTTGGGGCAAGGGCCAAGGAGGCTTTGCCTGCGCCAAGTGCAGTTGACTGTCTGGGTTTACAAAATAAACCCAGAAGCAGCCTGACGTCTCCGCTCGTTTCTAGGGAGGAGGTCGCGGGGAGGGAAGTCGGGAACGTTTCCTCTCCACAGGGATATCTGCTGGGAGGAAGTAACCGGGAAATCGCCACGGGGACACCCCTCACCTCCCTGGGAAAGTTCTATCCCTTTCCTGACTCAGGAGGCGGCAACAGGGATGGTGTCCAATTCAAGAAGGAGGAGGGCAGGAAAGAAGGCTTGGAGCCGACCTTCCGGCTGGAATGCAAAGATAAGAGTATTAACCCAAATAATAATAATAATCCCAGAGCAGACCTTTTTTTCTTTTTTCTCTCTTCTCCTTCCCCTCTTCTCTCTCCCTCTCTCTCTCCCTCTCTCTCCTTTCTCTTTCGTTCTCTCTCTCTCATTTCCTCTGTCTCTGTCCCCGCCACCTCCCCGTCTTTTGCAAGCGTGCTCGTGGCGCGTGCGGGACAGGGAAGTAAGGGGCGTGTGCGCGGAGGCTCTTCATCCCTTCCGGAGATGCCGCGGCCGACCAGCGCGCTTTGGTTCAGCAAGCACAGAAGGTGCAAGCCGAACAAGGCCATTCAGAAATGAGGTGGAGACTATGAGGCTGATGAGCTCTACGATTAAAAATCCATTTTTGTTTAATTCCAAGATAAGTTTTAACGATGGGATTTGAGTGAGTCAGATCGCCCATTTGGCCATTATATCCGGATTAAAAGAAATAAATTACTGCCTTGACAAAAGATGCCAACCACAGTGGAATGAAAAGCAACCAAATTGAGGAAACAGTTGGGGCAGGATAGATAACTTGTAATATTACTTAAAAATAAAAATGATGAGGACAACCAACTCTTCCTCCCCTCCCCCGCGCACCTTTTCACTTGAGCAATCTTGAATTTAGTGAAAGTTGTTTCCTACATGGTCCGTGAGTCATTGCTGTGGTCAGGCAGATTTGTTAGACCAACACCTAATTTAAATAGAATTGTTTGTGGAATAAAGCCGGGCTAGCACTAATAAATCTAGGCATTTTCAGATGAGGACAACTTGATTCAGATTAATTTATTTCATGAAAGTTGAATTTTATCATAAGAACACAGCCTAAAATGCTTCATGCAAGCATTTCTTACTGTGTACTTAAAGGGGAGAGGCAGAAGTTGAGATTTTCTAGTATTAGGCCACACTTCCTGGGATTCTCAAAAGCTTGGTCTCCAGGACTTCAATTTTATAGAGTTAGAATAGTTAATACAGAGGAATAGAATTAAAATCGCTCAGAGGAATATTTTTTAAATGACTAATAAATGACCAGGTTTTTGCAGGATTTTACTAATTAACATCGTATTTTAAGGAAACCATGAAGGCAGAAGAAAGACCTGTATTTAATGCAAAAATAGTCTAAAAAGAATAAGTGATTCAAAAAAATGGAAACAGGAAGGTTATATTATTATAACTACAGGCATATTGTAGAAACATTATGCAGAGATTACACAGCAAAAGTAAACTAAATGCACTCAAAATCCATAGACAAGGCTATTTATCCATTTGAAGACCTGATTTGGGGGATTTCACATGTTTGTGAAAGGGAAGAACGTTGTAAAAGGATTGAGTTTACTAGCTGGGAGGAAAGAAAGATAAGAGTTGATCTTAAGGTATAAGACGTGACCTTATTTTGTGGAGGATAACATTTTTATCTTTCTAGCATCCCTTCTCCTTCTAACAGATTCCCTCTTTCCACTAGAAGGTAAATTCCAAGAGGATAGCAGTTTTATCTGTTTTGTGTATTGCTGTATTCTCAGCTCTCAGAACCCTGCTTAACACATTCAATAAATTTTTGATAAATGAACTGATGAACAGGGAACCTATTCAAAGTGGTTAAGATAACGGTTTACCCCAACTGAATCTGCTGGTTGCTGTCCTGCCTTTTATGCTTTGAAAGCTTGTCTTAAAAAAAAGGAGAAGAAAGAGAAAGAGGAGTCCTGTAAATGTTATTTGAGTCCTGGATCTGGTAGTACCTGAAGGCCACTGCATACTTTTACTTCCTTTTTAATTATATTTTCCACCCCACCCCCTTTTTTAGCTTAAATTATTTTGAGTTGCATGTCACTTGTGACGGACAGAGTACTAACACATGTAATGATGGTGATAATAAATATGTACTGAGCCTTTATTATATGCCAGACACTGAGCTATGCGTTTTACATGCATTATTTCATTTATTGCTCACCACAGCCCTGTGACATTATATAATCCTATAACCCAGATGGTAAACAACTGTGTTCCAAATTATTTGAAAATGAAATGGGATGCAATTATCTCAAGGTTCTATTTGAAGGATTTAGATTAAACAGAAGAGAGACGTTTCTGCCAGGGTGGTTCCAACCTGGAATGGGTTGCCAAGACAGATGGTTGAGTTGCCTTCTCAGGAGTTTAAAATAGGATGCGATAGATATTCCTCTGGCCTCTTCCACATGACATAATACATTGGAATTTTTGACCATTCAGTAATGACTCCAAGGGATAGTAGAATGTGGCTTGACACTTGACATAATTCTGAATCTAGTATGCTGAGAAGGGGGTGTGGTCATGTGAGTGTCTAGCTGGGTTTGGAAATACTATCTGCCTGAGGCAGTAATTTGAGGTGATGAAATCACAGGAGTTCTAGCCCTGTAATTTCCACAATTTCTCAGGTTGTAATCAAAGATTTAAGTAATTAGAGATATGAGACAAGAAATTAATAGCACATGTTTGATGATTCTAAGTCATTTTTACTAATAATTAACACTTCAATAGCACTTTATGTCCTAAGAAGGGCTTTCACATTCTTTATCTCCTTTGACTCTACCACGCGTCCTGTAGTCAGGTGGAATTTATACACTGGCAGATATCTTGTTGCCTCTTTTTTCGGCGTGAGGCACACTGGGTGTTCTTTGGAGATGGAGCTCACTGGGGTCACTGATTGCTGCATGCAGGAGCTTCCTGTGGAGTTTCATCACTCTGGCGGGCAGCACTCTTAATAGGATTTTTACAGTGTAACTTAGCTTGAACCCACAAGAAAAACATACCTTTGCCCAACAACTATGGAAGTGCACTCAGCTCCTACAGCATCCTGTTCTTCTCTTGGCCTGCTCCAGTTGGTTTTTGTAAATTGCCTAAGATTTTTTATAGAACCAGATCTCTCACCCCATCCTGTGTCTTTCATTATATGGAGATACATTTTCTGGGAAAACTCAGACTCCAGCTCCTGTGCTTTCTGAACTCCAGGAGGCATGGGTCAGCTTATGGCATGTTTCTCTGGACGCTCCCTTTACTTGGCTGGAAATGGGGGGATAGAATGGGAGTATTCAGTATTCTGCAGGAGGTACTGCATGTCCTCCCCAGGAAGAGCTCACAATGGGGCTACTCTTTAAGCAGTCTCCACTCACTCATCTGGTTGGTCTGTCTCTTATCTTCATTGACATAGGCCGGACAGTTTTTTGTTTTTTAATTCACTTGAGATAAAATCCACATGACATAAAATTCACCATTGTAACAATTTTAAAGTGCGCAGTTCAGTGATTGTTTAATATATTCACAATACTGTGCAACCATCACCACTATCTTAATTACAGAATACAGATGCTCCTCAATTTACAATGGGATTACATTCCAAAAAAAACTCAATAAATAAGTTAAAAGTGCATTTATTACACCAAATCTACTGAACATCATAGTTTAGCCTAGCCTGCCTTAAATGTGCACAGAACACTTACACTAGCCTACAGTTGAGCAAAATCGTCTAACACAAAGTCTATATTATATTTAAAAAAGTGTTGAATTGCTCATGGAATTCATTGAATACTATACTGAAAGTGAAAAACAGAATGATTGTATGGGTACTTGAAGTATGGTTTCTACTGAATGTGTATCACTTTTGCACCATTGTAAAGTTGAAACATCCTAAGGCAAACTGAACCATCATAAGTCAGAGACTGTCTGTATTTTCATCACCCCAAAAAGAGGTCCTATGCCCATTAAGCAGTTACTCCTATTTCCCTTTCTCTCAGCCCCTGGCAACCACTAATGTACTTTCTGTTTCTATGGATTTGCCTATTCTGGACATTTTATATAAATGGAATCATTCAATATGTGTTTTTTTGTGTCTGGCTTCTTTCACTTAGCATGTTTTCTAGGTTTGGACTGGGATTTTTAGCTAAGGGTTGCACAGAATCTGTTAGGATCACGCTGTTGAAAGACCTGCATAGGTTAGCTGCACTTTAACTTAGAATGTGGTTGTGGGGACCAAAGTTCCACTTACCCAGAGTCTTGAATTATAAAAGTATTAAAACTCTGTGTGATTGCAGAAACCTACCAAAATTACAAGGTGAGGAGATTTAAGAGGTGATATAAAATTTAGCTTCAGCAGAAAACATTTAGGCTGGGATCGGTGGCTCATGCCTGTAATCCCAGCACTTTGGGAGGCCGAGGCTAGTGAATCACTTGAGGTCAGGAGTTGGGAGACCAGCCTGGCCAACATCTCTTCTGGCAAATCCCCGTCTCTACTAAAGTTACAAAAATTAGCCAGGCATGGCAGCACACACCTATAATCCCAGTTACTCAGGAGGCTAAGGCACGAGAATCGCTTGAACCTGGGAGACAGAGGTTGCAGTGAGCAGAGATCACATTATTGCACTCCAGCCTGGGTGACAGAGCAAGACTCCGTCTCAAAACACGAAACAAAAAACCCATTTAACCTCTCCAGGAACCTCAAGAGTTAATTGAGGATGTAACAATTGACTATTTCTAAAGTTCCTTTCAGCTTCAAAAAATTCACTTGATTTTCTGATAACAATGTGTCCTCTGTTGCCCAAGTCCCGGGAACCCTGGGTTTTGTTTCTTCACCTGCCAGTTAGCACTGCCCTGGGCAGACACAGACTCCTCTTCTCTCTCCAGTGAATGACGTCAGTCCCATTGCTACTTCAGGAAAAGTAACTTAAGGCAAGTTCTTTATAGTTGAGAGGTCACTTTAATCTATTAAGTATTCTATTGTGATGGGTATCACATGTTCATTGCAGTATTTTCTTAATGTGCAACAGGGATGTGGGCAAATAAATTCGGGTACATCCATCTGGTATGATATACATTCTTACTGAAATAATGTGGCAGGGGACTATCTGGTGACAAAGCAAAAAAATTACAAAATGGTATGGTTCCAGTTTTTGTAAAAGAAAAAATATATATGTATGTTAATTATATGGTATGCATAGATAATCAAATGAAAAATTATGTACCTGTGCCATAACAGTGTTTCTTTTAACATATTTCTTCTTTTTCCTTATCTGTACATCCTATTATTCTAGAGTCCTTTGTGAGAAGAAAAAGTACAATGAAAACTTAATAGTTTTTAAAGTCATGTGCATCAATGTTTCTGCTTAATTTGGTTCCTACTTCAGAATCAACTACTGTACTTTCAGAGAGAAAAACCCTCTTCTGGCTTCTCAGGCAGGAAGTGACTCAGACCTCCCCTGTTTGAGGCATGATAATTGCTGTCCTGCTTTAGCTCTGCATTGTTTATTCGGCGGATATTTACTGAGCGCCCACTGTGTGCTAGGCGCTATTCTTTAGTCTGAGAATTATAGCCATGCATAAATGCTGCAATAGCCATACAAGTCTGACTAAAATTAGGCACATAATAGACATTTAAATATTTCTTATTGCCCAATTGTCCATATTCTCAGCGTTCAGGGTTCAACAAACTTGGGTGTGATCAACTCACAATAGCTATGAGTCCTCCCCGATGGCACATTCTTAGTCCAGCCTTGGTGAAGGTGGCATGGTCCCCTGCCCACACTGCTTTTTGTTTTTCAATGAGAAATAAAAATAAAAATAACAACTAAAAAGATTTTTCCTAATTCTTAAAGTACTGTACTATGTGCTTATGGTAAAAAAAAAAAAAAAAAAAAAAAGGAAGTTACAGGAAAAAGAATCAAAGAATGAATGCCATTTACAATCTCACTGGAAGGTTACAATTTCTGCTCAAAGAATAAATCCATTGAAGTGAGGAACCTGAGAAGTTTGCAAAAGGATGATCTTTTTTCTTTGTCATAATTATATAATGAGAGAAACAAGCAAACCTCTTTTTAAATACTTTAACATTCTCAGCTTTAGGAATAAAATAAGCAGATGAAAATTAGCTTTAAAAAACTCAGTGTGTCAAAACTATGCATCTAGAATTATCGTTATCTCTTGAGATTTTGGTCATAAATGGCAGGTGCTCTAGTTTTTATTTTGCTCATTGTTAGCCTGAAGAGGTCATCTGATTGAATTCTTAAACGCTATTATATCCCTCAAAACTGGGGTTAATTTTGCCTCTCTGATAAATATGGATAATATTTAACAAACCCAGTTTAGAGAACTATATGAAGCATTCAGAGTCCTATTTTATGCCCTTTAAAAAATTGGATTTCCTGTAGCAGTAACTAATTTATCATAGCTTTATAAAGGGAATCTAATTATTCAAAGTAATATCTAATTTGAAGCAGCCATTATTCACCAACCAACGTTAACACTAAACAAAATAAAATTGAGAGAGAAAAGAATCAGCTCTCTCCATTATACAGTCAGCACTATTGCAAATACTTATTCAATTACTTTCAGCAAACACAAGGCCCTCTGTGGTGGCTGCTCCATGGGTAATTTGCTCTGGAACTCTGACCTTTCAGTTTGTGACAGTGAAAAGAAACATCACATTAATATAGGAGAAGATAGAAGGACCTCTCGAAAGACCCAAGAAAGTGGTCTTGATAATAATACCTACCACTTATTATATTCTCACCATATACCAGGCTTCTCATTTAATTCTTATAAAGGGCTTCAGAGATGGGCATTAGCATCCCCATTTTCTAATGAGGGCCATGGGGCTTTGTTGGTTTATATAACCTGCCCAATATTAGTGGTAGAAGCAGATTTCTCACAGAAATCTGCCTTGCTCTGGATTGATGCTTAACAATTAGTTCTAATGCTTCCCATTTAGGGAGTAGCAAGGTCAGCCATAATTTAAATTCCATTCAGCAAATATTGTTAGTCCTGGCTACACTCCCAGAGCCGTGATATGGTTGCTCTCCTCTAGGAATTTGTAGTATTATTAGAAATAATTATAGGATATAAGGTGGTATAGAATTCAATTCCAAATTGGATAAAACCATGAGCCAAAGTATTTGCAACAGAAAATATATACTTGGGGCATTCAAAAATTCCAAATATTCCAATTCAGAATTTTAGATCTTACTCATTTTGTTGGAAAAGTATCTGATTCAACAAAGTAAATTGTATGCAAATAAAAATATAATCTGGGGAAAACCATTAAACGGTCAGAGATGAAAATTTTCTCTTAGAATTAAGAGTACTAACATGAATCCCTATTGGTCATCTTATCTGTGGCACTCGCAATAAAGAATTATAAGCAAGGAAAGTAGTGTCTCTCTCCTGCACATACCAAGGAACTGAAACACCTTCTAATTAAATGCCAAATAGAGTATTGAATAAAGAATCAAATCCCTGGATTTTGTTCCAGAACATCCATTTATTAACTATATAACTCTAGGTAAATGACTCAACCTTTTGGATTCTCAGCTTCCCCTTTGTAAGATGGAAACGCAGTACTAATATGTGCACTGTTTAATTTCACAAAGTTGACTGAGATGAAACATGTAAAAAGTGCTTTGGTGAACTATAAAGCTGTAAAAGAGTACTTGCCTTATTGCCCTTGTGCCTTGGATGTGGTCTGACGCAGCACAGATGTTTAACAAATGTTTGCTGAACCTAATGGCTAGGTTTATGTGCAAAATAAACAGAGCTGGAGAGGTGTCTCAACACAATGATGTTTGTACTAATTATGTGGCTCCCCCGAGCCTGGCTGTACCAGAGTCCAGCAGGTCCTCATTTCACTCAGCTCTGCCTTACTCTCCATGGTGCTCTCTCTCAGCTGCTGCAGACTGGAATGAGTCCACTGGTCTGCATGCCTAGGCTTCTCAAAACCCCTGGGGACTCGAAGGTGGCATGTTGTGGGGAGCAACCTCAGTGACCTTTAGTAGAGAGTGAGGGTCAGCAATCTCAAAACACACTGGAGAGTACCCAAAGGGGTTCTGAACTGCATGGAAAGCAAAATAAATAAAAAATAATAATAATCACTTTCTCCAGAGAGCAGTTTTGACATGCTGCTACTTGCCTCTTGCATTGTGATAAAAATACGTGGTAGGAAATCAATGTAGGTTTCCTTGGCAGCTGTTGTATAGAAGAGGTCAGGTGCAAATCTGAACAAGTTGCTGAAGGATGAGTCTGCTCACAGGCGTTTCCTACTTCATGGAAACAGCCAGATGATAGAAAACATGCTTAACATGACGATTGTTCATATTTATCTCAAAGTAAAATTTTCCATTCACTCAATATTTATTAGAACTACTGGATGCCTAAATTCCTTTTGTCTCAATTTCCTTTCCTGGGAAGGCTCTAAGAACCTTGGCTCCTTGGCTGTATTTTTAGAAACAGAATATGCATTGCCACAGTGAACATTAATATGTTTGTTTGTAGGGGTACCTGGGTGCAAGATAGGCAATAGGGTCTTCAGACAGGGCCGTCTTTATAACATTGACTTAGCCCAGCTTGACAGGTCCAGAAACTTGATATTTTTGGTGTCCCAGGGCTAATTTTACACATGGAGAGGGACTTAAAATATAAACCAAAAGGCCAGGCGTGGTGGCTCACGCCTGTAATCCCAGCACTTTGGGAGGCCAAGGCAGGCGGATCATGAGGTCAGGAGATCGAGACCATCCTGGCTAACACGGTGAAACCGATCTCTACTAAAAATATGAAAACAAAAAATTAACAGGGCGTGGTGACGGGCACCTGTAGTCCCAGCTACTTGGGAGGCTGAGGCAGAAGAATGGCATGAACCCGGGTGGCGGGGCTTGCAGTGAGCTGAGATCATGCCACTGAACTCCAGCCTGGGTGACAGAGCAAGACTCCATCTCAAAAAAAAAAAATACATATATATATATATATATATATATATATATATGTATATACCAAAAAACATACCTACCTATCTGGCATTTATTCTCTGGCTGCAAGAGAGCTTTGGGAAGCCAAGTTTATAATCATAAATATGTTTGGTGAGTGTGAAATAATAAAGAAGAGTAATTCATTTGATGACTTGAATGTTTAGTGGTATCAAGCTATTGTGCATGACAAATCCATTGTCACAAGAGAGATACGTTTGCCAATAAGACCAAATATTTAGATGGGCTGGATAAGACACTGTCATCCCCAGGCAGAAGGCATGAAGCAGTTAATCAGTGAAGTCTCTCTCTTTTTTTGAGACAGAGCCTTGCTGTGTCACCCAGGCTGGAGTGCAGTGGCATGATCTTGGCTCACTGCAACCTCTGCCTCCCGGGTTCAAGTGATTCTCCTGCCTCAACCTCCCGAGTAGCTGGGATTACAGGCACACACACCATGCCCAGCTGATTTTTGTATTTTCAGCAGAGACAGGGTTTCACCATGTTGGCCAGGCTGGTCTCAAACCCCTGACCTCAAGTGATCCACCCACCTCGGCTTCCCAAAGTGCTGGGATTACAGGCGTGAGCCACAGCAGTGGGCCTGAAGTCTTAATATACAGGAAATACCATGGCCTCATGATTCTGCTCAAATCAGAAAATTGCCCTTTCTATTAAAGATGATCTCTCCCTATTCCTTTATCAGCCCAATAACGGAGAATGCAAAGACAATACATCATAAATATGGTAGAATGATGATCACACACAAGAGAGGCAAATGGACAACGAACAGAGAACTCATATCAGAAAGACATTATCAGACAGCTGAGGAGCCACGTGGAGAAAAAAGCCAGTGCCCAGAAGAATGTCATGAGATGCAGGCATTTTGCAGAGCCTCAATAAAATCAATATAAATATGTATATCGAATGTGAACTAAACAATTACATAAGCAGAAGTTAAGTTCTGTCCAATCCTTCTGATGGAATGCAAAATTCCAACAAAGACAATCATGAGGCAAGAATCATGTACCATGCATAGAACCGGAGTACCAGAGTAAAGGCAACCACACCCTTGTAACCATCACCCAAATCAAGAAACAGGACATTACCAGCTCTCCAAAAATTCCCTCTGTTCCCTTCTAGTCACTAATTTCCCAGTGGTAACCACTCTGCTGACATCTAACAACATAGATTAGCTCACCTGTTTTTATACTTTGTATAAATGGAATATATGCTTTTTTGTGTCTGGTTTCTACTGCTCATCTTTATGTTGGAGAGATTCATCCATACTTTTGTATGTAGTTGTAAATCATTCTTACTGCTACTGATATAGCCCAAATTCTGTGGCTATATCACAATTGGTTTAACTATTTTGTTGTTCATGGGCCGGTTTGTTGGAACAACATTGGAATATTTGGAACATTGTTCCAAAAATTGGAACAACCATTTGTTCCAACCATCCAACAAATGGTTGTTCCAATTTTTGTCTACTAACAAGTACTGTTGCCATGAACATTCTGTTCCCCCAAATTCCCCCCGATTCTAATTCTTTTGGTGAACATGTGCATACATTTCTAGTAGGTGTATGCCTTGAAATCTGTTTGATGGGTTACAGGTTATGCATATGTTCAACTCTAGTAGTAACTCCCACTTCTCCAAAGTGGTTGTACCAATTTATTATCCCACAAGTGGTATATGATAATTCTTATTCCTTCACGTCCTTGTCAACACTTATTATTTTCCATCTTTTTCATCTTAGCCATTTTCGTGGATAGCAAGTGTTATTTTATTATGGTTTTATGTTATTTTATTATGCATTTCCCTGAGAATTAATAAACAATTTTCTGTATGTTTATTTACACATCTCTTTTATGAGACTTTTGCCCATTATGCTGTTGAGTTGTTCAACTTTTTCTTATTGACTTGCAGGTGTTCTTTATACATTCTAGATTTGTGTTTTTTAATCATATATATGTGTGTT
The DNA here is from genome assembly GCF_000001405.40 of Homo sapiens. NCBI lineage: Eukaryota > Metazoa > Chordata > Mammalia > Primates > Hominidae > Homo > Homo sapiens. The sequence goes on from NC_000012.12 coordinate 47,091,449, forward strand.
TGCATTGGATATAAATTAATATATGTTAATATTTTTCTCTCACCTTGTGGGTTGCCTTTTCACTCAATTTGGGGGAACAGAAGTTTTTAGTTTCAATGTAGCCAAGTTTATCACATTTTTTCCTTTTATGATTAATGCTTTTTCATTTGCTTATTTTCTATTTAACAAAGGATTGCTGACTCCAAGGTCATGAAGATGTTCTACTCTAGAAGTTTTATTGTTTCATCTTTCAATTATTTCTGCAATCTGTCTGGTATTGACTCTTGTGTGTAATGTGAAATAAACATTAGAATACCTTTTTTTCCACTTGAATGTTGAATTGACACAGCACAATTTATCTGAAAGATTATCCTTTTCCCTACTGCATTGCAGGATCACCTTTATCATAAATCATGCCACCATATATGTGCAGGTCTACTTCTGGATTCCCTGTTGTGTTTCATTGGACAGTTATCTGTTCTTGCACTAGTACCACACAGTTTTGATTGTCATAACTTTATAATAATAGTTTCTGATATCTCACAGTGTAAGTCCTGTATATTTATTCTTCAAGAATAACTTGATGATTTCCAACTTTTACATTTGATATGAATTTTAGGAAAACTTGTCAATTTCTGGAAAAAGAAGAACCTGTAGCTTAGATTTTGACCAAAATTGCATAGATGAATGTATTAATTTGGAGAGAACTAACATCTTTACAATATTGAGTCTTCCAATTATAATGATGCATATACTTCCATTTATTTAGCTCTCCTTTAATTTTTCTCAATAATATTTTAGTTTTCAGTTAGAGATCTTGCACATCTTTAATTAGATTTATTTCTAGGTGTTTGAGTTTTTTGATGCTATTGTAAATATGTTTTATTTTCTATTTGTTTATTGCCAATATATACAAATGCAACTAGTTTTTATATGTTGACTGTATATCCGGTTCCCTTCCTATATTCTCTTATTAATTCTAAGAATTTGTCCTTAGATTCTCTAGAAATTTTGAATGTGCATGATCTTATTGTCTGGAAATGACAATTTTATTTCTTGCTTTCCAATCTCCATGACATTTATTTCTTTCTCTGACCTTTTGCATTGGCTAGACCTCCTTCTACAATGTTAGACTGAAATGATGACAGTGGTCATTCTTGACCCAGTTCCAGTCTTAGGGGGAAGTTTTCAACATACTACCATTGAGAATGATGTTTGCTACGGATATTTTGTAGATATTCTTTATGAGATTAAGAAAGTTCTGTTCTTAATTGATTACGTGTTTTCATCACAAATGGATGTTGAATTTATCAAATGCTTTTTCTGCATTTGAGATGATTGTATGATTTTACTCCTTTTTCTGTTAATGTGGTGAATTATGTTTATGATTTTTGAATGGTAAGCCACACTTGTACACTTGGACTGAACTTGCACTCCATTTACTGTATCAATGGATTTGGCTTCCTAATATTTTGTTAAGAATTTTTAAGTAATGTTTATGAGAAAGATGGGCTTGCAGTTTTCTTTCTCACAATCTTGTCAGGGTTTAAAAATCAAGTTTATGCTATTACAATTTTTTTTAAGTCTGGAAAGCTCACCTTCTCTTTCTGTGTTCTGGAAGAATTATACAAGACAGCTGTTAATTTTTCCTTAAGTGTTTGGAAGAATTCACTGATAAACTATCTGAGCCCAGGCTTTTCTTTTTTAAAATAATGGGCTTAATTTTAAAAAAAAATACATCCTAAATTATTGATATTTTCATCTCTTCTCCTGTCAGTCTTGGTAAATTGTATTTTCAAAGAGTTTGTTTATTTCATCCAAATTGTCAAATTTATCAGCATAAATTTGTTTTAAGTTTCCTTTTATTGTCCTTTTGATGCTTGTATGATCTATAGTGATATCTCCTTTTTCATTGCTGTTGTTGCGAATTTGTTTTGTCTATTTTTTTTTCTTTTGATCAGTCTTCTTTAGATTTTGATGTTTTTAAACAACTGACTTTGGCTTTATTGTCTTTCTTATATGTTCCTTGGTTTTTGCTTTTATCTTTATCATTTCTTTTTGTAAGTTTGATTCCTGCTCTCTCTCTACTTTCTTGAAATTAACACTTAAATCATTGATTTTCAGGCTTTTTCCTTTCTAATATGGAATATAAGACTATATATTTCCTTCTAAGCACCATTTTAGTTTTTTCACATGATTTTTCAAATGTGATTTTTATTATTTAAGTTTAAGAACTAATTTCTGTTTTTTTTCTTTATCCCATGGATTATTTAGAGTATATTGTTTAATTTTGAGCACTTGGGTTTTTCCTGTTGTTGTTATTGATCTTTAGCTTAACTTCCACTGTGGTCAGAGAAGACATTCTGAAAGATGTCAATATTTTGAAATTGTTGAGACTTTTTTCTTGTTATGATATATTGATTGTAATAAATGTTCTTATGTTCTTTGTATACTTGAAGTGAATATGAAGTGGTCATTAGGTACCATTTTGCATACATGACATTAGATTACATATGTTAACTGTGCTGTTTATATCTTCTATATCCTTACTGATTTTTTTATTTTTCACTTTTTCTGCTATGTGTTTGAAAGAGATGCACTAATGCCTCCCACTGTGAGTGCTGATTTGTACATTTTTTTCTCATTGTTCTGTCCATTTTTGTTTAGTTTATTTTGAAGCTATATTATTAGGTGCACAGAGATTTAGGATTGTGCTCATTTCCTATTGGACTTATTTATTTATAATTATGAACTGTCTCACTTTATCTCTAATAATGTTTCTTGCCTTACAGTTCACATTGTCTGATATTAGTATAGCTAGACAGCTTTAGGAGCAGGGGCAGGTTTGTGTTTGCATGGTATATTTGGCTTTCCTTTCACATTAAACATTTCTTTTTATTAGATTTGAAGATTTGGGTTTGTTTTTTATCTAATCTGACAGTATTTTACTTCAAATTTAGCTTATTTACATTCAGTGTAATCACTGACATCATTGGGCTTATAGCTACCATCTTATTTTTCATTTTCTATTGTGCTCTTTTCTTTTATATTCCTTTTGTTGTCATTTTATGTTCTTTTTTTCGCCCTCTCTTTCCTCTATTTTTTTAATTATTCAAGGATTTCATTCTAAAAACTTGCAAGTTTTACTTCTTTAATTCTAATAGTAACTATCCTAGAGATTGCAATATATATCCTTGATTTATTACAGAATTATACAAATTATCTTTGCCACTCCTCTGATACTGTTAGACCCTTTGACCTTTTAAATGATTTATCCCTCCTGATTTTGTTCTTTTTGCCACACATCTTAGTTCTACATATATTTTATACTACAAACGACGTTATAATTACTGTCTTTTATAATCAATAGTGACTTACAAATATCCATGTTTACCCTCACCAGTGTTTTTTATTCCTTCCTTCATTTCCATGTTTTTCTGTCTGGAATTCTCTTTTCTTTCTCTCTCTCTTTCTTTTTTTTTTTTTTCTTTTTTGAGGCAGGTGTCTCACGTTTTGTCACACAAGCTGGAATGCAGTGGCGTGATCATGGCTCACTGCGGCCTCAACCTCCTGGGCTCAAGCAATCCTCCCACCTCGGCTTCCTGAGTAGCTGGGACTACTGGTGTGTGCCACTGTGCCCACAATTTTTTTTTTTTTTTTTTTTGTAGAGACAAGGTCTTGCTTTGTTGCCTAGGCTGAGATTATTTTCCTTCTGCCTGAAGAACATCCTTTAGTTTTCCTGAAAACATCTTTATTCTACTTTCATATTTGAAGGATATGATTGCAAGATATAATTCTAGTCTGGCAATTATTTTCTTTAAGCTCTTAAAGTTGACAATATTGTCTTCTCGCATCTATAATTTATGTTGATAAATCAACTGTGAATCTTATTGTTGCTTCTTTGAAGCTAATTTCTTTTTTTTCTTCTGGCTGCTTTTATGATTTTTCTCTTTATCTTTGGTTTTCAACAGTTTGACTATGATGTGGTTAGCTACAGTTTTCTTTATCTTGCTCCTTGTTCTTACATCAATACATAGATATTCTTATCCATTATCTCTTTGAATATTGCTTCTCCTCTATTCTCTCTCTCCTTTTTGGAACTCCAATTATATATATGTGAAAAGTTTCATGTGTATCTTGTTCTTGCCATTGTTTCCATTCTTTTTTCTCTTCCTGCTTCAGGAGTAGATACTTTCTATTTATCTGGGTTCCAGCTCACTGATCCAGCCCATTATTCACTAATTATGCTGTGTGTCATCTGCTGTAAACTTATCCATTTGAATTCCTAATTTCAAATATTTTTTCAGTGTTTAGAGTTCTAAAATATACATGTGATTTTTTCACAGATTCCAACCTTCTAGTGAAATTCTCCTTTTATTCATCATTTCACTATTTATTTTTCATGTTAATCATAAGTATTATAAATTCCTTTTCTGGTAACTCCAACTTTTGGCTCATTTGTGGGTCAGACAGATCTGAGAAGCTTGGTTTTTTTTTACTCTGTCTCAGGTACTTTATATTTAGTGTTTACATTCCTAGCCAGAGAAGCATTTATGTAAACACTCTCTATATTTAATGACTCAGTTTAAGAAAATGCTTACAATAATTGAGGTCTCCTTGTTTCTGAACCAAGTTTTATATCAGAAGACCACATCCTCATCTCGGGGAGAAGAGCGAGGAGAGTCATTGTCTAAGCATTCCTGAGCACTACGTCTGTGCTTCAGTGTTCCAGCCCCATGGAAAACCCATTTCTGTACAGTATCATATCCCATAGTTAATCATACTTTTAGATTTTTTAGGAATATTTTAGTGTCATTGCTATTTAGAGATTATCTGTATCTTATATTACACATTAGCTAAACATGCTCTGATAATATAAATGTTATTTGAGCTAATTAGATAAACTTTGATTTCAATAATTGTTCATCTTTAAAACTGATGCAGCTTTATTTTAGGACTAAAGGATTATTTATCTTCTTTATATATAATACACATTATATATTATATATTATATATGGATAGATATAATAGTAATGTAATGTGTACAGCTGTTCACATAAATTAATTCACCTATATTTAGCTTCCCCTGTATCCTGTCCTCTTAAGCACATTGAGGGCAGAGGCAGTTTTCTTGTATCTTGTCACTCTACAGCACCTAACACAATACCTTTCATAAACATAATCTGGGCTTAGCAAGTCTGTGGATTGGATTCACTTGCAAAATCTATCCATTGCTTTAAGAGAAACCAATATTTAAAAGTAGACTTTTCGTTAAAAGGATATTACAGATATTACTTGCTTTGTTTAATAATTATCTGCTTTGGAGATGTGTTTGCATTTTTAATGAGTGCTTTAATGAGCTTCTATTACATATATTAGAAAACAAACTTGGAATAGTGCCACTATGTAAGTTAACTCTGCTGGTTTAAAATATATTTGAGATGGAATTTGATTAAATAATTACCAAAAGTAGATATGTAAGACTGTATAAGATTGCTTTAGTAGCAAGATCAGGCAGCAATATTGATTTTTTAAATTAAGTACTAAATATACCCAGTCGAATTCAAACACTTACTAAATGATATTTTGCAATTTTCAAAAAGCCCTAACATTTAGCCCCTCAGTTGATTCCCTTAATAACTTGATAAATTAGGCAAAAAAGCAAAGAAGAAGAGGATCATGGAGAGCAAGGGATTTACCCACATTTACATTTATATTGGCAGAGTCAGGACTTGAACTGAAGTCTCCTGAGGCCTAATTTGATCTTCTATCTGTATCAACCAGAAATACCTAAAATAACTCATATGTCTATAAAGATAAATGTACCTGTAGAAAATACATCCCTCAAAACACACATTTAATTACAACTTCTTAAACGAGCACCCTCTTCCTTTTTCTTACAGCTCTTTATCCCTAGAGTTTAAAGAATCAAAACACACATAAACATCTCCCTAGAGCAAACATAGGGAGTTTCCTCATGACTGGAAGCCCACATTAAAGCCACGCCTAAGGGAAGAAGGGAAGGCAGGGCTGATAATATTTTGTTTATTTTAGTCCTTCTGCTTAGTTTTTGTTTGCAGGCACTGGACTGAACTTAGTTTTCAGAGCCAGAAATTATCATTGTTTGTGTATCTAAATTTGTTAATACTCTGCTTTTAGAAATTTTTATGTACAATGGATTCCAAGAGTATTTTGGGAACTTCTCAGTGGTGAAATCTAAACTGTGGTTCAGTGAAGAGCCGACAAACACAAACTGCAAAGAGCAGTTGGCACAGTACACTTTTGGAGGCTATACGACTCTTCTGCTCTTCTAGCACAAGGCACGGAGTAGGTGCTTGCTACAGTTTTCGGATGAATGAATGAAAAGTACCTTAGTCCCCAGCACTGTCTCCTCAGTTCACCCAAAGATTCCCTGTGATGGCCGTGCCACCATTACAGCAGCAGTTTATTTTCTGTGCAATTTGTAGAAGAAGAACCAGAAACCAAATTGTTACCCATGCTCCAAATTGTTATCCATGCTCCAAAGACTATTCTTGGTTTTATGCCATAGCAAATAAGGTCTTACCATTTCCAAGTAAGGCTAGCCACATGCCAGTCTGTGAAAAGGAGGCATTTGCTTTTGGGTAGTAGTTGACATGCTTTGGGGCATTTATGCTGCCTCCCCAGCTCCCATCTCAGAGAATTCCTGCTATTCACAGTCGCTGCTGGAAAGGACAGGCTTAAGTGGCCCTATCCCCACTCCATGTCTGCCTTGCCCCACTCCAATGAGACCAGGGGTAGACTCGTGGACCACAACAATCAGACTCTCTCTTACGATTCTGAGCCGGGTTACAGAAACTACGGTCAGTGACTATGGACTGCAGCTGAGAGCTCCCAACCAGCGAGGGCTGAGGTTGGTGCCAGTGCAAGCCAAAGTCAAGGACAACTAAAGCTACTTAAGAGCAAGATTATAAATAGACAAAGCCAAAGTCTATGAACAAAGGAAATCAGACATGCTTTTAAAAAGCAAAGAGTATGCAACACTCACAGGGAATTAATAACAATATTATTTATTAATTTATTTATTTTATTTATGTTTTGAGATGGAGTCTGTCGCCCAGGCTGGAGTGCAGTGGCACAATCTGGGCTCACTGCAAGCTCCGCCTTCCGGGTTCACCCCATTCTCCTGCCTCAGCATCCCGAGTAGCTGGGACTACAGGCGCCCGCCACCACGCCCGGCTAATTTTTTCTATTTTTAGTAGAGATGGGGTTTCATTGTGTAAGCCAGGATGGTCTTGATCTCCTGACCTCGTGATCCGCCCGCCTCCGCCTCCCAAAGTGCTGGGATTACAGGCGTGAGCCACCGCGCCTGGCCATAATATTTTTTTAAAAGCAAAGAGACTCAAAAGAGAGAGTCAAAAAACAAAAGAGAGAAAGAAAGAGTGGGAGACTACAGACCAATCAACTTGAGTTTCAGTCTCTCTCTTTCCCAGCTTTGGTGGCTATGAAGTCTAGCTGGACTTTGTTTCCTGCTGGTGGATGTGTGCAAAATTGTTGGCTTAATCTTTACAGTTAACTCCTGTTTTTAATTTGAGTTAATTTGAGTGAGATTCGATTCCCAGCCACCACTCATCTCTGACCAATGGACTTCCCCGTCCCCTTCTCCCCTGCGAACCAGGTGCTTCAGTTTGGCCCTTCTCGCTCCTATCAAGAAAGAATGGGATCTGAAAAACTTTCACACTGTCAAATACTGAGTTTGCTGACTTTTCCAGTAACATTTTAGAAGAGCACAGCAGTGAGAAGGCCACATGAGACAGTAAGGGATAACAATTCACATACCATTTTGGGCATCAGTTGTAATCTATTTCAGGAGGAGCACCGGAACACCGGCTATTACCTCAGTAGCAGATCACTTACTATCCCCTTTTTGAGGGCTACTTACCATCACACATAAAGCTTTTCCTTCCTGCCACACTCCGCACACCACATACTACATAAGCTCTTCTGTCCATTGTAAATGCCTTGAAAGCGGGGATCGTCTCCACTGTGGTTTTATACTCACTGCTCTCACACTAGCAGTGACAACATCCATTTGAATGAATACATGTTCTACATATAATTTTAATGGATATTCCTTCTCCCTCTCTCAGAATGAATAGTTTGAGAACTTCTGGGCCTAATATTCAGATAAGACCCCCTCAAAAACCTTCCTTTTCCCTTTTGCCACTCCCTCTGCACTACCATGCGCCCTTGTACTTCTGTGAGATCTCCTAAAACTGAAGAGCATGAGGAAAACAGGAAATTACTATTAGCTTTTCCTTAGTCCAGGAAAAAAAGACTGAGAGGTGGCCCAGTCATATTCATAAAGTGTTGCTTAAAGAAGCCACTATTAGCAATTGAAAAGGACTTTCTAGTTCAGCCCTGCCTCCCATTCCATCTGGGCACCTCCAGCATCAGCCCACAGTTTCTCAGGCTCCAATCCATTCCATGCCAGTCATAAAGCTGACTTTCCAATGAAGACACAAGGCAGAGAGCACATTTGCATCAATGCAGGTACAGGTGTATAAACTCAGTGACTCCAAGCGGCTACACTGAGCAATGTTTACATACTTGGAAAAAGGACCATTCTCACAGATTCTATTTAAGACCAATGTGGAAATATTAATAGAAATTCTTGAATCTAGAACTATTCATAAATACTGTTTTAGAAGAATGTATTTTCATTCAGAAAGGAACACAGTTTCTGACAGACTGTGATTACCGTTTTATTTCCTTTTTCTATATCATTAAACGCAAGGGTAGTATTCAGAACACTCAAAAGTCATATATGGAAAGAAAAGAAAATGATGTTTTTGGCATGCTTGGATCTCTATCATATTATGTTCTTGTCTTTTCTGGTACAATTGTAGGATTTATTTTCTAAACATTCCAATTTTACAGCATGAGTCATTGCTAATGTAGAAACCAACTGAATCATCCATCCATCCATCAATGAATATTCTTGTCTTCTTTTTCCTTATATGTGCTTATCTTTATACTAAAAAAGATATTAGGAATTCTTGCATTTAAAGCACTTCTTCTCCCTTTCACTTATTTTGTTTGTTTTACAGGTAATACAGTAAAGCTATCATTAACTTTGTTTTGGTTCAGATTTCCATTCAAAATATTGAGTCAGAAACTCAAATCAAGTGTACTCTTAAGTATCTGAAATCTGATGTCTTCCATACAGGAGGTAAATATAAAGTCTAGAAAAAGGAGAATAGAAAAGAAATATTTTCACACTTTCTGGCCTTAAGAAAGACCAAACAGACTGGATTGTGGTAATAAGTCTATGTCTTCTTCACTTAGCCTTTAAGAGTTGACTAAAAGTTATTTGATTGGCCAGGCATGGTGGCTTATGGTTGTCATCCCAGCACTTTAGGAGGCCGAGGGGGGCAGATCATCTGAGATCAGGAGTTCGAGACCAGCCTGGCCAGTATGGTGAAACACTGTGTCTATTAAAAATAAAAAAAATTAGCCGGGCATGGTGATGCATGCCTTATAGTCCCAGCTACTCAGGAGGTCGAGGCAGGAGAATCACTTGAACCCGGGAGGTGGAGGTTGCAGTGAGCCGAGATCGTGCCTCTGCACTCCAGCCTGGGCGACAGAGTGAGGTCCATCTCAAAAAAAGAAAAAAAAAAGTTATTTGATCATCTTGTTTCAAATATGAAGAATCTAGTTTATTCCATTCCATCTTAAATATATCACCTAGGATACTTGATATTGTAATATAATTACTTGTTAGGCACATCTTTTATTATTATTATCTATACCAGATGGTTTCAAGGAGAAGACATATTTACTTGGAACCAACCTATGGTTTGAGGTGGGGCTGGGGAGTGGGCAAGAGCACTGGTCCAGGAGTCAAGAGAACTAAATGTTAGTCACTGTGATACCACCAGTGAGTGAAGCTGTCACTTACTGGGCTTTCTTGTTCGTTCGTTTCTTTTTCAGTAAAATGAATTTCCTTCAGTGCCTGAAATCTCTTTCTAAGACTCAATGACTGAGCCTTTTCCTATTGTTTATCTCTTGCCCCAAAACTTGTAACACAAAGTCTCCCCAATTTTTATGCACTTAACAATCCACTGTTCAGTAGCCATTCTACATTACATGCAATTATCATCATGAGCCCCCTTTCCCATTCTGACTATATGGAGATTATATGGGGAAAACTATAATATGGATCACAGGGAAAAAACTGAATTAAAAGGAAGATTTGGTCCGGGCACGGTGGCTCACACCTGTAATCCCAGCACTTTGGGAGGCTGAGACGGCCGGATCAGTTGAGATTGGGAGCTCGAGGCCAGCCTGATTAACAGGGAGAAACCCCTTCTCAACTAAAAATACAAAATTAGCTGGGCGTGGTGGTGCATGCCTGTAATCCCAGCTACCGGGGAAGCTGAGGCAGGAGTGTCATTTGAACCCAGGAGGCGGAGGTTGCAGTGAGCCGAGATGGCACCATTGCACTCCAGCCTGGGCAACAAGAGCAAAACTCCATCTCAAAAAAAAAAAGGAGGGGGAAGATTTGAATTTATTATGCATTATTTCTAAGAGAGAACTCAGAGAAATCATTTGTCCTAAACAATAGCTTCTATCTATTGACTCCCAAGTAGTTCCCAAGAAACTAAATTGCTTTTACCAAATTATCCTTTTAATACATCCATGTTATAGACTCATCAACTACCTGTTCATTAAAACACATGGCCTACCAAAATTATATCTTAACATCATTAGCTTTTAAATACTAGAAGTCATTTCAACCCTTAGAAAAGTCTGGTGAGCATGATTACATGTGGAAACTTTCAGATACAATGTATCCAAAAAAGTAAGTGTATTAAAAATGTAAATATATTTCAGATATCCAAAAATGTAGACATATTGTCAGGCTTTGCTACTTTTTTGCAGTTTCACATCATGTCTTTACTTGTAATAATATCAATAATTGCTGCAAAGATAATAAACTACATTCCCATTCGCCTATCCCTCTACCCCAGTACTGTGTTATACAGTTTTCCCTGCAACATGATGTCAGTCTGCAAAGGGTCTTTGTGACATCAGGAAGAGAGTCTAGATTTCCTTCCAGGGCAACACATTTTGCTATTAGGTTGAGCCATAAAACTGCCATTTTTGGTCAGGAATGATTTACCACTGGTAGTTTCATATGGCACAAGCTAAAGAGCCTTCCTTGGGTTTGAGTTACAGTCCTGAGAGTCGCTTGTGTGTCCAATGGGCCAGTTACTTAATTGCTGAGTCTTGGTGTGTGAAATGGTAATAACACCCACTTTATAGGATTGATTATTAACTCAACATTGAGGCTTAGCAATGACGTATAGGAGCACCGTGCCTAGAAACAGTTATTGTTCAAGAAATAGGTAATAATACAATATAATTATCAGTATAAGTAACGTAGAAGAGTTTCCTCACTTTTCCTTTAGCCATTTTTGCATATATGGTGAAGGTAATGGTTGCTATGGTAGAGAGAAATGGAAAATATTTGTGAAGCAAGCACAATTTTTAAAACCCCAATAACGTTAAAGGCCTTCCATTCCTGTCTTGTATGCTCTCTTATGTCCAAGTAAGGGCACAGATAAAGTTTGACACATACTCGGTGGAGTATCTAAATAGAAAATGTACTGAAGCAAACCAAGAACAGAGTTTTAAAAAAAAAATCAAAGCACTAAGCAAACATTCTGAACTTTTGGCAGAGGAATTGGACTGTCTGAATCTCCATGACTCTTTGGAGTTATTAATAGTGATGCATTTTGCCATATTTTGAGCAGATGCATATTTATAGGTCACGCAATATCTGTGTGGGGAGACTTTCAAGGCTTTATGGCCTTTTAAAAATGTCTTATCTTGGAAGAGAACAGGGCAAGGAGGATGCCATTTTGTCATCTGTGCAGCACCAATCACCCTGTGCTCATTAAATGTTACGGGAAAGATGCGCACTGCAGCAGGGCCTGGAATGTGGCTCCCATCTGCACTGCCAGAAGCCATGATGAAGTCACGAGTTGCACAACAGTAGTAATTCGCAGCTATTTATGACCATTTTAATAGCAAAGGTCTAGATTAGAAGGCTGTGTTTACATGCCATGTAGCAGAATAGTTCACGAATCATTCCCACAGTAACGTTTGGTCAAACCAATCAACCAAGTAATGAAAAATGAACCGGTTGTTCTTGAGGTTGTGACTAATAGATCTCTAAGTTAGCCTCTACTTTCCTCATGCTCTTCCATACCTGAGACAGAATTGACTCCTGCCCCATGCCCACAGACTCTCCTCCTCTGTCTTCCCGGCAAGCCACAGCCCTGTTACCCTTTCTCCACCCAAGCTCAAAGCCGTAAGACATCAGGTAAGTTAAAGGAGCTTTGGAAACTCCTGTAGAGCACCTGTGCACATAATTAAGGAAACATAATTTTTAGCACGTTTATTTTCTCATTGTCATTGCTCCATTATGTGACTTTAATTAGTGACCCCGATGGCCCCTGTGCATCCAGATGAGTAAAATCCTTTCATTTGTCTGCTTAAACTGACTTGAGGTTTTAGTGATTATCACATCCATGCAGCCTGAAGGTCAGACTATTTCCTTTTGTTTCACTAGACAGTTAATCCCCTCATTAGGGGTGATGGAAAATGAATAATTAAACATGCCATTTTCACATTTCAGGTAATGAGAGGCCCTAAGATCCCAGAGGATGCCATAAGAGGAAAAGTCAGGGGAGTGTTGAAGACTCTGCCTCCTACAAATATGTGAGTTTTTCTCCCCTGGCTTCATGGTAGAAAAGGTTTGGCGAAGGCTCTTCCTCTAAATTGAAACAAAACAAAATGAAAACCTTAGTTATTGGGCTGTACTCTGACACTTAGTAGCTGTGTGACTTGGGGCAAAGCAGCTAACCTTTTGACACTAAAAGTTTTCTCAATTATATAACTGGAATGATAATGGTAACCATTGTATTGAAATGTTATGAGCATTAAAAACATGAATGAGTGACAATACTTACAACAGTGTCTACCACATGGTAAGAGCTCTGTAATGTGTTAATTATATTATCATTTTCATTATCACCCAGGCAAGTCACCTGAATGCTGTGGGTATCAGGCCACAGCCAAACAACCACTTGCAGGTTATCACAAAGTTCCCTTTGGCCTATTGGAATAAGGATTAAGAGTAAATTATGTTGTACCCTGGAGGGAAAAAACCCAAGTAGTCATACCTCTAGGGCCTTAGGGAATTCAACTTTCACCAAACCTCTTCTAATTACTCTAAAAAGATTTTTTGGAGGGTGGAGGTGGTAGAAGGTAGAGAGCCACAATAGTCGGGACCCAGATGACCACACTTGGTGAGTGAAGGTGAAGCCACCCACAGCAGCCTCCACTGGTGCAATCTGAATTCCTGCCTCCAATCCCAGGCCCCACAGCTTCTGCCCCTTCCTCATGTTCTCCAACTCCCAGGAAGCCGGCTCGCCCCGGGCTTCCCCAGCCCTGTACCATGGAGACTGGGCAGGGACCTCCTTTTGTACTCTGACTTCTGTCTCATCTGACCATATTTTAGGCAGACCTTACGCTCATGCCGACTAAAAATGGACTCACTCTGCTAAGGAAATCCAAGCCCCATTGGGAAATATCTCTGAGTCTAATTTGGTCATTTCTTTTGCCGCTTCAGGCTGTGGACCTTACAAAGCAGAGACAGCACCCTTCAAGATGCAGAGTTCAGGGAAAGCTCCTATACAGAGGGGAGTGGGAGTCTCCGCTGAGTTTGGAAAGATGACTGGGGTTTGATTGACAGAGTGAACGCGGTGGGGGGCGGCGGGGGAGATGTTTCAAGTGAAGAGGGTCTGGAATGTGCCTAGAACAGGGAATCTTCTGACAGGCTGAAACAGGCTGTGTAAGGGAGTGCAGGTGGCTAAAGCTGCTCAGAGAGACACAGACCAGTGCGGAAAGAAAGTTCTGAGGGTTCATGAAGATATTGGACTTTATTCTGCATAAATACAGATGGTGAAGGGTGGAAGCAGTGTTTCAGAAAAGAAAAAGTGTGTAGTGCTGTGCATGCAGCATTGGTAGAAATGGGCTTGATGGGAGGAAAATTACTTAGCGGACTAGGGCCTGAGGTCATGGGGACCTATGAAAAGGAAAATAAAATGCATGAGGGTGGCTATATGATTATGTGCAGAGGGGGTGGAAACTGTTGCTCAAAACTGAATCTTAAAATTTGTTTTGTCATTGCTTTACCCAAAATAGTCGACCCTAGTTGGATTTTTTTGGAGAAAATATTTTGTCCCTTTTAAAAAGGTTCTAGTAAGAAGCAGCTTTAATGCTGTTTGTGGAAGGAAAAAGTTACAAGGAGAAAGAGTGAATACAGTGCATGATTAAAGGAGTGATGGAAAGTGACAATGGCTTTCAAAAGAGCACAGGCGAATTGACACGTATTATGACAAACACGATCTTACAGTGACTTCATTTTCTTGTGAGTGTTGGGAAATACTTTCTAGATATTCTAATAATGATGCCGTTAGCATTGTACAATTTTTAATTAAAAAGCTTATAACACAAATAGAAACTTAAATCTGGAGGAGAACTTCAATATCCTTTCATCATTTTACAGAGGAGCTAACAAGACTAGAGAGTAAACAACTCACCCACAGTCACCCAGCAGGTGTGTGACAGGTCCATTGCCAGAAGGTAAATGCTTTGCTCCTGGCCCGGTGCCCTTTCTGCTTGGCCACAAGAGTCCACAAAGACCATTTTATTTATTTATTTTTCAAAATACACATTTTTATCAAAAAAGGACCATTTTTATAGCTGAAGTAAAAGACTTGGTGTTTTCCATTTTCTCTTTTTAAAGTCAAGAGCTGTTTTCTCAGATAAATTATTCACATTTCCCTTTACTGCATTATTTTTCTTGTTTGTAGAATTAAATAATTAACCTTGAGGTAATCTTTGTGTTGAAGACACCTTAGCCTAGGGGTGCGAGTTGCGTAATGGGAAGAAAAGTGGGTGCCTATGAGAAAGTATAGACTTCTAGGAGTTCCCCAGCTCCCTCGGAACAGCCCTCTGACCTGGTGCTCAGGATAAGGTGAAGTCATGGAAAAGCATCAGCAAACGCGCCTCTCAACCTGCCTTGCCCATGATGTCTGTCATCCCAGGCCCCAGACTGTAGGCGTCGAGCCTCCTCATAGGGTCCCTGGGCGCCCATCTCCTTTATGGGGCCCCTCCCCACAAGGGACCCATCAGCCTCACTTCTCTGTTTTCCCTCCTCCCCGCTTCTCTATCTTTTCTGTAAAATGTTTAAAAGAAAAAATAAATCTCTCCTGTTAGAGCATGTTCTTTTTCTTTTTCCTCCAGCTTTTTTTTTCTTTGTCAGTCTCTGCCTCTCATCCAGGTGAAATTGCTTTCCTCCACCTCTGGCAAACATACATTAGGGCCTTGCTTCCTCTGCTTCCGGGGCCCGCAGCCTTCCCTTTGTGGCACCTTTTCCCCAAGTCCTGTTCCTTTCTGCCTCCTAGGAACCCACTCTGGACAGGGGATGCCCCAATAATGGCAGAGGGCTCCTGCAGATCGTCCCCTACCCCCATCTCAGTTACCCGGCCAGGGCTCAAGCATAGGAAGTCCTGAAGTTCTGATTTTCTTGGTTAATCTCCTTGAAGCAATTCTTCATGATACCAAGTGCCCTGATTCTTTGTTCAGAGTTAGGGGTGGGCGAGTGTCAACCTTGATATTCTTCATTGTTGATTCATGTTCATGAAAGATTCTCCTAAAGTTTGATTGGTGAATGCCGGGGCCAAACACCGTAAGCCTAGGTGCACTGTGCCACATCCATATCAAGAGGCTGGGAATCTTGGTGGGGTCAAAGTCTCTCCTGTATCCATGAACCATTGTATTGCCTCTCCCGGCATGTCTGTGAGAGAAGGGACAGCATAAACTCTGCCATAGGAGGAGGAAGGCTTCTCTCTTGTTCTCCATGGGACACAGGGAGGGAGCTGATAGATGGCAGGCCGAAGGGCCCAAATTTAAGAGAGTAAAGTGGGGTGAACATGTTGAGATTGTGACCATTTTCCCAGAAGAAGCAGAAAGTATAATGCATCGAAGTTAGAGCACTAGAAGGGCCTTGGTATGGCCCCCGACACCAACTTGGGCAGAGAGGCCAGACTCCAGCAGGCAGCAGCAGTGGCAGTGGAGGTGGCACAGGCACCAACAGGCAGACGGGGCTGGCAGTGACCCTGGCAGGGAAGGATGCAGTGCCTCAGGGATGAGAGAATGCCAGCTGGGGACTCAGGCTCAGGTGCAGGTGTCACTAGACCTGGGCTAGCCTCCCACCCACTAGCCAGTTCCACAACAGATACAATGTCCCCCTAAGGAGGAAAGTGGTAGAAAAGTAAATATGTCTTAATTCCCAAAACTTCTCTTTTACATCAGGTAAGACTCCTAAACCAGAAAAATGAGGATCTTTATTGCTAATTACATGCTGGGTGTCCTTAGGAGAGACATTTAAATTTTCTGGACCTCAGTTTTCTCATATATAAAATAAGGATGTAAATAATTATTATTTTGTAGGATTGTTGGAGTACAAAATGACAGTATGAGCAAGTAAAATGGTATGCCTAGTACCAGTGAGAGCCCTCAGTAAACAGTAGGCAGCAACCAAGCTGGTGGGAAGCCTCCTATCCAGGAGGATGCAAATTGTTGACTTGCAAGATGATGAGGATTTCCAGATAGACACAGGTGAGTAAGCATTGCTTTTTCCAGTTGGATAACCCTGAGATCTGCTGCTAGAGTGGACTTAGGATGTGAGCAGGAGGCAAAACACAGGGAAAGTAGCCTGAGTGCTGATGAGCTTCTCAGGTGCTGATTTAGAAGCTGCCCATGCTCACCACACACAAGGACCTAAACATACTGGCTCAGCTATCTAAATGGCAATGACAGTTGATGACAGCTGTTTCCCAATGACTTCCTCTCCCAGAATCTTCTGCACCCTACACGTTCCTGTTGTTCAGATTCTGTCTGGAAGCAAAACAGTTCCCAAATGTACATCAGATTGTGTTTTTCCCCACATCTTCGCCAGGCTTGTATGATCATCTTTGTACTTTTCCTAATCTTTTCGATTAAATTGCAATTTAATTTTTATTTTTCTGACCACTGGTGAGACCTACCATCTTTTCACATATTTATTGGCCCTTTGCATTTTCTCTTAGGCTTTCATTACTTGAGTTTTACAACAGAATGGCATCATCTTTAGAATCAGTCCAAGGCCAGCTTTCATTACAACCACTCTTATTATTTCATTTTGTTTTCTTCTCTTCTTTAAACTTCATGCCTCTGATTAATCTGTTTAATTTTAATGGCTAGGCATGGCAGCTCACACCTGTACTTCTAGCAGTTTGGGAAGCCAAGGCAAGATTACTTGAGAGCAGTCTGGGCAATATAGTGAGACCCTGTCTCTACAAAAAATAATAGTAATAATTTTACAAGTATGTAATACTTCGGGGCACACACCAACTTTTGTTTGTCTTCCTTTGGCAGAGTCCTCACCACAGATGGAATTCTTTCATCTTTTGGATTAATCATGATTCAGGTCTTGAAATGAAAACTAAAATAAACTTTCCAGTTGGCCTTTAATCTCAATTTGGAATTATTCTAGGTTGAATGAAAATCACCTACTTGATAGTACTCTACTTATGTTTTTGCACTTTCCAAAGAACAGAATTGGAGGCAGAATACTGTAGAAGAAATTTTCAAGAAGATTCAAGTACTAGATTTAGGATGTAGAAGTCCCTGCTTGCATACTGCTGCCAGTCTTCTTGCAACTTTCAGCAAACCACTTTCCTTCCTCTCTCTGTAAATGGAGGCAGGTGGCAAGTTGAGCTATATCAGTGATTCTCAACCCTGGCTACACATTACAAGTACTTGAAAAACTTTTTTTTTTTTTTTTAGTTTTAATTGGTTTATTATTGTCTTTAAAAGTCTTCACAGGCAAAGCCATCCCTCTTTGTCTCTATCTTACACCTGCCTGGTGGTTTTAGTTGAGGATTCTGGGAAAAAGAGACTTAGAGTGATGATGAGGAGATTTGACATTTTAGGAAGAAAATGGCAAGTTTCTGGAATTTCAGAAATTTTCAAAATTCAAAAAATGTAATGGTTGTTTCTGGCTCTTTGTTTTATTCCATCTCTATAAAATTCCATATGTGGAAATAATGTGTTCCCTCATATTTATCTCTATTCAGTCATGCATTTATAACATATTCATTGAAAACTAGTTATGTGCCAGGCCTGTGCAAGGAGAGAAGGGGGTGCAATAGAATTACCTGAAAAACTTTTTTAAAAGGCTATTAAAACTTTTAAATACTGCATCCTAAGGTCAGTTAAATAAGAATCTCTGGGAGTAGGATCTATGCATCAGCACTTTTAAAAAGTGCCTCGGGTGATTTTCATATGGAACCAAGAATGGGAATCACTGAACATGATGATCTCTGGTATCCCTTGTAGTAAACACCTCTATGATTCTAAACCATGTTGAAATTTGGGCAGTATATCAAACTCTTTAGTGATTTTTAAGTTAGTAAAATGGAGATTCTACTTCATGTTGCCACACACAGCAATGGAGTTTAGAATTGGCCTGAATGGTTGGCTTGGAAGATGTTTGTTAGTGGCCAGAATCATTCATGAATCTTCTTGCTTTTTCCTCTCCTCCTATGGGGATCATGTCTCTAAATGAAACAATATGTGCTTTTGTTGAGCTGAAAACTGGATGAAGTGAGGGGTAAAATGAATGGACAATTAGTCCTGTAAATCACTAATCCAGAGGACAGCCAGCAACCACTTCTTCTGTCCCCACTTTGAGGTTAAAAACAAAAATGCTGTGTTTGGAGGCCATAATGTGAGCTTTTGTCAACAAAGAGGAAAGCGCAATAGGGTTCCACTTCAATAAATAATTTTTACGCAATCCATAGGATTCAGCCAATCAATTAATTATGAATTGCAAACATATTTCACCCAGGAAGTGTTTGGTAACAGTTTGTGGTTAACAAAGACAATGTGTTCAACATAGGATCTAGCCCAAATTTACTAATAAAATATGATCTTTTTACTGCAAAAGTGACTTAGGAGACATTACTGGGGAGACAAAACCCTTAATACACAAAGATACTCCATAAAACTTTAATTGCATGGCAGAATCTATAAATGCAAGAGAAGCAGCCTCATCTTGAATTTCAAGTAAGAAATGTTTTGGGAGCCGTCTGTGTCACTAATCAGAAATATAATCAATGAAAGGTATGAGGTTCCCTGAGAAGCTGCTTTGATCATGCAAACATGAGCTTCATTTTTAGATGTAACTAGTGTCTTCTTTCAGGTGATTATTGATCAGGTTCTTCTCTGCTGAGTCAATGACAAACACACACAAAGCTTGGTCCAACGTGAAGTTTGATGTCCCGCATCACAGTTGCAGGGAAACATGAGGTCATAGCACCAGAGGTTTGAGCTCTTCAGTTCAAAAACCATATGCAGCATGAAAGAATGCTCTGGTGTTCTTTGAAGTTTGATGTATGTAACTTCAAATCTCAAAGAGAAATACATTTCTCCTCCCACTGAATTCAATTGCTTTGTAAGTGGTCTGATTTCTGAAAAATTGATTTTTGGTACAACTGAAGAGTCTATTTAACATTTGGGTTGCCTTAATAATAGAAGCCCAAGGATGCTATGACTCTCATGTTTCAAGGACCTGTGCCACAAGGACATAAAGATCACAAAGCCACAAGGACATAAAGATCAGAACAACATCACTCTGCCCTAGATGAGTTCACTTTCTAGGGGAACCAACACCTGTATTAGAGTGTTGGAAGACTGCCTTTAAATGCTTCAAAATGCATCTGCTATTATTTTAGGATGGGAGAAAGATCACCATGGTTTTCACTGATCATCAGAAGAAATAAGTACTTATTAGATTTTTATGTCTATATTATTTACATATTTTGAAATTGTGGTAGAATACACATAACACAAAATTTGCCATCTTCACCATTCTCAAATTTACAGTTAGGGGCCTTAAGTACATTCACTTTATTGTGCCACTGTCACCACCATCCACCCACAAGACTCTTTCCGTCTTGCAAAATCGAAACTCCAAACACATTAAAAAAAAACCTCCTAATTCTTCCCTACCCTCAACCCCTGGCAACCACATTTCTACTTTCTGCCTGTGAGTTTGTCTCCTGTAGATACCCCTTTTAAGTGGAATTGTTCTGTGTTTGTTCTTTTGGTTGGCTTATTTCACTCAGCATAATGTCTTCAAGGTAAATTTTTTTTAAAGAGCCAATAAATACTTCCAAGTGTCTCATAAGCAACCAGCTGTGCTTGTTCTAGCTGAGGTACCTCGGTTTATTTACAGATCTTATTAGAAAGTCACTTCTTCTCATGGTAAAGGGAGCCGATGTCATTTTGTACATCTTTGAAGGAATTCAGTATCATTCATGGATTATCCATTCATGGGTTCTCTGATCGCTCAAAGGCACCGGCACTGCCCCTCATAAGCTGTTGGTGGGGGTCGTGTAGCCCCTCCATAAGATGGCCAGAGAAAAGGCAGCCCACCTGACTCAGAGCTGCCAACCCCCAGCCCACGCGAGCTCTGTGCTTGATTATGGGTGTGTATTACCATCTGGTATGTGGGTTTAGCAGTAAGAATAGGAGAATCAATCAGGCTTTCCATGTCATATGTTGCTATTATTTTATTTAACACTTGTTCTATGGCCAATACTGCACCAAGCACAGCATAAAATCTGGAATTACTTGATACACTCCCTATCTATTATCCAAGGGAAACTTCTGCCAAACTTGCATCAGGGGATTCCTCTCAGTCCACTGAAAAGTGACTTTATTTCCTAATGACTTCCAAATACAGAGTCTTGATTGTTTAAAGACTAAAAGCTATGCTTTAGAATTTTAAGTAAGATCCATTTTAATAAGATTCTCTTAGCAAATTTCTCTATACTTCATTAAGTTTCTATCCTGGAGGAAAATATATCTCTCCATATTCCATGATGTTAGTGGAGGAAATGAAGCAACCACTTCCACTCACTATTTCCCTGGCTGTTTCTATTTAACAAAACGGTGATTTTAGCTGAAGCTTTGTTTGTGATTTTAATCACAATCTATATGTTGGACCTCAGTAATTAGAAATTTGAGTGTTTGTCGTAAAAAGCTACTTCCAGGGTACATTATTTTACCATGATGCCTTCCAATGTGTGGTCTCTTAAAAACTCTGTAAGGTCACATTATTAGCCAGTGTTTGTAATAGACATAGTACCTGCCTTTCTCTTATGCCTTTTGGAAGACTCTTCAATTCTTCCCTGGGCTCCAGGGAGTACTGGGATTATTCAAGTGCTTCCTTCCTTCAGCTAAGAGACTAAAGTTTCATTTTTACAGTAAAGAGCCTCAGCCTGCAGAGAGCGGTAACAGCTTCTTGGGCATGTCAGCCCTTGCACATACGACTGCCCTGCTGTGTGCAAAAGCAAATGGAATTTCCTTTCCTTTCCTCTTAACTGATATTCCTTCACTCTTGTTAGGTTTGCCTTTACAATCTATTACCAAAAACTGGACAACAGAACTAGCATTATTTAAAAACATACACAATCCCCTCCCAATGACTTGGGGATGTCTTATTCATTCTGTAAAGCTGGGCACTGGGTTTGGTCTCTGGGATATACTAAGATGCTCAGACAGAGTCCCTGTTCTAAAGAAGTAGGGGAGAGGATTTATACTCAATTACATAATACTGTACAAGTGAGGACATAATATATGGTATCAGAGACGGCTATGGAAATTCAGAAGATGGGAAAATCTCTGAATTTAGGAATCACAGAAGGGGAATGAAAATACCTCACTTTTCTTGAACATATACTATGTATCAGGCACGGTGTTAGGCAGCTTACATACATGATTTAGTTCAATCTTCACAACCATGACATGATGAGGCATTTTTTACTCCAAATTTGGCAACAAAGAGAAAGAAGCTTGTCCAGATCTGACTGTTTGCTCAGCTTTCATGCTTTATACTGCATTGTTCCATACTGATGACGCTCCTGCTTCAAATCCTATTCCCCTGTTCTACCCCCACCTCCCAAAAGGAGCAGAAAGATTGAGAGGCTTCAGACAATCAGATTTTACCAGATTTGTACTGCTTTTTAGTTTGCATCAGAAATCTGTGGGACCTGTATGCAGAGAACCATATATGTCCAAAGTGTAGCCAAAATGCAATTTTTTTTTTTTAAGAATGTAATTTTAAGAATTGCATGGCTGGGCACAGTGGCTCACGCCTGTAATCCCAACACTTTGGGAGGCCAAAGCAGGTGGAACACCTGAGGTCAGGAGTTCGAAACCAGCCTGGCCAACATGACGAAACCCCGTCTCTACTAAAAATACAAAAATTAGCTGGGTGTGGTGGCGGGCAGAGTTTGTAGTGAGACGAGATTGCGCCCCTGCACTCCAGCCTGAGTGACAGAGCATGACTCCATCTAAAAAAGAAAAAAAAAACACACACACACACACACATAATTTATTTAGAGGTACACAATGGGGAAACCCTTTGTATGTCTGCATAGTTCTTTCTTCCTCTTGTGATTCCAGATGGGAATCTAGGACTTAGATAATTGACTACAGATTTACTGGGCTTGGGGAAAGATGCAAAGCCATAACACAGGAGCACACTTGTACAGAGAGAGCAGCTATCAGAATTCAGATTCAGCACACCTTCATGAGTATCCACTATGTGCCACTTAGAGGCTTATCTTTTACACTTTTATCTTCACACCAAACCTGCAAGTTGGATGCTAATCTCTCCCATTTGACACATGAGGAAACTGAGCCCACATAGAAAGTAAGTGATAGAGTTTAGATTCAAACTCAGGCCCTCTGCCTCAAGTCCAACTTATGACTTAAAAGCAGAAATATTTGAAGTCTGGAAAGAGGCTTTTCAGTTCATTAAAATCTGGCCTGTCAAAGCTGGACATGCAGCTTTCTCCACACTCTGCTCTGTCGCCTTAGAACCCCTGCACCAGAGACAGAGAACGTTACCCCTGGGAACAGCCCAGTGTCTGGCTCTTAGCACATAAGCACATGCCTCAATTCTGGTTCAAAATTACATTGCCGTTGTTTAGAGGAGGCTGCCTCCCCACTACTTCTGCTACTGCTTGATCTGTAGAGCTTTCTTAAGATAAAGCAGATGTTCCTAGCCCAGAAGCCTTGAGGTTGCTGCACCAAGCCCTCCAGCTGGAGCAGGAATGAAGGTCCCCAACACCAGAGACTGCCAACAACGTACAGGCCTCAGAGTAAGCCTTGAAGAGTTAGCTAATGGCAGCATCTGGCTTTCCATCGTGATCATCTTACTTCATGACACAGCACGTTTTTAGGAAATTACACTTTCATTTTTCCTGCTGTCCATTAAAGAAGGTTTAATAACATAGTCTGGAAATACAGGTGGGAAGTAGATTTGGGAAGTTGGACTATATGCAAATTAAAACTATAACTTGTTTGAATTACTCCAAAGTTGGTATCTTTTTCAAAAATAATAAAGAACAAATACAGCAAATTATTCAGTAGGGTCTGAGTAAAACAGGATGTTACCTGTTTATCTAAGTGTATAAAAAGGTATATAATAAAGCCTGGACACAGGTTATCAATAAATACTTATATAAATGAATAAATGTATGGTGATTTTAGGATCTTACCAAAACCAAGAGTGTCAGCCTTCTTTGAGTTAGGCCTAATTTTCAATCCTGATACTAATGGTGGGGGAATTACGGTGGTAAACAGTTGAAGGGGTCTGCTGCTCCTTTATTTTCTGCCCAAACGACATTAAACCACCTTTGCATGGTATCTTCACTCGGTTCTCACTCCTGCTATTGTGGTTTCTTTCCTCCTTGCTCCCCTGCCCCTCCCGCAATGTCTGTGGACTATCTGGACCCTTCATTTTGTACTTTTTTGGTGGACAAACACAGAAGGTTTTGTCTTAAAGCTGTAGCCACACTCATGAGGTACAACCAGAAACTGCTTCAATAAAGGAAGGCAATATGAACACTTTGATACCTCCTCCCCTCCCTCCATTCTCCTTGCCCTCCTCCCTCTTCTCCTTCCCCTCATCTTTTTCTTCTTCCCCTGCTTATTCTAGAAATGTTTCAGATTAGAAAATAATTTGTTACTTTGCTGTTTTAAAAAGGTGATATGTAGTCTCCTTATCTTAGAGATTAAGTTCTGTGTTCACCTAATGTACAACCATTTATTCTCTAAGTGAGGTAATGACATGATGATGGTCTATAGCAGATTGGAGACACCCTGTAAAATTAACATGTCTTACATCTTCCTATAATTATTTTATGTGTAAATTATTTAATATGCACAATGAAAAATAATTGTATACGACAAAGTGAACTGCTATGCCAGGCTCTGATCCAAAGATATTGTATGGATTGGTTTTTGGCATCTAAGGGCACTTTAGCTTTTACTTCACATTAGTGAAACTATATTCTTTTAAATTAGCTCACTAGAAATCTATGCTAGTTAGAATAATGAAAACTTGAAATAAATAAGGTATATAGAACAAGAAAATATTCCTGATTCAATTGTTTCATGATTTCTATTAGCATATCACATTAATGTTTTGTTTCAAAATATGATGGTTACTTTCTCAACATGTTTCTATTTTAAAATGACCTTTACTATCAACGTATCTACATGGTGTCAAGTAATTGGAAGGCAAATACAAAATTCATATAAATATTTGCAGACACACCCTGAGTGTGATGAGCCTTGATTACAAAAAAGATGTTGATAAGCTCTGTCCTCACCAATAATTATTTGTTCCTTTTGGAAAGGTACATAGTCTGTCAAAGCAACTGAATTATTTCTAGTCTGCAAATAAATTTAATGGAGCAAATACTTTCTAGGTCACAGTATGGGAAAGGTGACATTTTTATTATGGAAAGAGTGAAGGTCTGTTTTTTGATCTGCTGAAAAAAATAGATTGGCATAGAGTTTTTTTCTAGTCACAAAATTGAACATTTTATTTTGAGATGTTAATTTTCAAAAAACACCATCAGATAAGAAAATGAGTCTTTGTCATATACATTTTGTCCCAACTTTATAATAATTCATTACTAGTATAGTATAAGGTTTTAATAGGTAGTTAGATCATTTGAGCCAAATTATTTGCCAATCTAAATATTAATTATTCATTTATTGAAAATGTCAAAGTTGTGAGATCCTGGACTGTGTTAATCATGAGTGTTTTTTAAATTTAATTTTTTCTTTATTCAGAACAACATTAAGTAGCAAATAAAAAATACCACTGCAAGTCTAGGAAGATTTCAGAAGAAAGGAAAAAGCTTTATATTTTAGCACTTTTTAAAAACAGCTTTACTGAGACATAATTCATATATCAACAATTTACTCACTTAAAATGCACAATTCAATGGTTTTTAGTATATTCACAAATAGGTACAGCCATTGTCACAGTCAATTTGGGAATATTTTCATCACCTCAGAAAGAAACATTGATAAATTAACCAGATATGGTGGTGCATGCCTGTAGTCCTAGCTACTTGGGAGGCTGAGATGGGAGGACTGTTTGAGCTGATCTTGAGCTCCTGGGCTGAAGTGATCCTCCCACCATGGACTCCCAGAATGCTGGGATTACAGAAAGGCGTCACTGTGCCTGGCCAGCATAATGTTTTCAAGGTTCATCCCTGTTGTAACATGTAGCAGTACTTCATTCATTTTTTTTATTATACTTTAAGTTCTAGGGTACATGTGCACAATGTGCAGGTTTGTTACATATGTATACATGTGCCATGTTGGTGTGCTGCACCCATTAACTCGTCATTTACATTAGGTGTATCTCCTAATGCTATCCCTCCCCCCTACCTCCACCCCATGACAGGCCCCAGTGTGTGATGTTCCCCATCCTGTGTCCAAGTGTTCTCATTGTTCAATTCCCACCTATGAGTGAGAACATGCAGTGTTTGGTTTTCTGTCCATGCGACAGTTTGCTCAGAATGTTGGTTTCCAGCTTCATCCATGTCCCTACAAAGGACATGAACTCATCCTTCTTTATGGCTGCATAGTATTCCATGGTGTATATGTGCCACATTTTCTTAATCCAGTCTATCATTGTTGGACATTTGGGTTGGTTCCAAGTCTTTGCTATTGTGAATAGTGCCGCAATAAACATACGTGTGCATGTGTCTTTATAGCAGCATGATTTATAATCCTTTGGGTATATACCCAGTAATGGGATGGCTGGGTCAAATGGCATTTCTAGTTCTAGATCCTTGAGGAATCGCCACACTGTCTTCCACAATGATTGAACTAGCTTATAGTCCCACCAACAGTGTAAAAGTGTTCCTATTTCTCCACATCCTCTCCAGCACCTGTTGTTTCCTGACTTTTTAATGATCACCATTCTAACTGGTGTGAGATGGTATCTCATTGTGGTTTTGATTTGCATTTCTCTGATGGCTTGTGATGATGAGCATTTTTTTCATGTGTCTGTTGGCTGCATAAATGTCTTCTTTTGAGAAGTGTCTGTTCATATCCTTTGCCCACTTTTTGATGGGGTTGTTTGATTTTTTGTTGTAAATTTGTTTAAGTTCTTTGTACATTCTGGATATTAGCCATTTGTAGATTGCAAAAATTTTCTCCCATTCTGTAAATTGCCTGTTCACTCTGATGGTAATTTCTTTTGCTGTGCAGAAGCTCTTTAGTTTAATTAGATCCCATTTGTCAATTTTGGCTTTTGTTGCCATTGCTTTTGGTGTTATAGACATGAAGTCCTTGCCCATGCCTATGTCCTGAATGGTATTGCCTAGGTTTTCTTGTAGGGTTTTTATGGTTATAAGTCTAACATGTAAGTCTTTAATCCATCTTGAACTAATTTTTGTATAAGATGTAAGGAAGGGATCTAGTTTCAGCTTTCTACATATGGCTAGCCAGTTTTCCCAGCACCATTTATTAAATAAGGAATCCTTTCCCCATTGCTTGTTTTTGTCAGGTTTGTCAAAGATCAGATGGTTGTAGATGTGTGGTATTATTTCTGAGGGCTCTGTTCTGTTCCATTGGTCTATATCTCTGTTTTGGCACCAGTACCATGTTGTTTTGGTTACTGTAACCTTGTAGTATAGTTTGAAGTCAGGTAGCATGATGCCCCCAGCTTTGTTCTTTTGGCTTAGGATTGTCTTGGGAATGTGGGCTCTTTTTTGGTTCCATATGAACTTTAAATTAGTTTTTTCCAATTCTGTGAAGAAAGTCATTGGTAGCTTGATGGGGATGGCATTGAATCTATAAATTACCTTGGGCAGTATGGCCATTTTCACGATATTGATTCTTCCTATCCGTGAGCATGGAATGTTCTTCCATTTGTTTGTGTCCTCTTTTATTTCCTTGAGCAGTGGTTTGTAGTTGTCCTTGAAGAGGTCCTTCACATCCCTTGTAAGTTAGATTCCTAGGTATTTTATTCTCTTTGAAGCAATTGTGAATAGGAGTTCACAATCATGAGTGTTTTTAAAACCTTATTTTTACAAAACAACTGTATTGGTACTGGCATAAGGATAGTCATATAGATCAGTGGAATAGAATTGAGAGTCTAGAAATAAATCCACATGCCTATAGCCAGCTGATTTTCAACAGTGATGCAAAAACGTTCAATGAGGGAAGAATAGTCTTTTCAACAAATAGTGCTGGGACAACTGCATAACCACATGCAAAAGAATAAAATAAATAAATATATTTACCTCACACCAAATATAAAAATTAATCCTAAATAGATCAAAGGCCTAAACTTAAGAGCTAAAACTACAAAATTCCTAGAAGAAAACAGAGTCGTAAATACTTGTGACCTTAGATTTGGTAATAATTTGTTAGGTATGACAACAAGCAACAAAAGAAAAAATAGATAAATTGGACTTCATCAAAACTAAAAGCTTTTTGACTGGGCATGGTGGCTCACACCTATAATCCCAAAGTATTGGGATTATAGGGAGATGAGAGGATTGCTTGAGCTCAGAAGTTCAAGACCAGCCTGGACAACATAGTGAAACTGCATCTCTTAAAAAAAAGAAAGAAAGAAAACTATTAAAAACTTTTGTGCTTCAAAAAACACTATCAGGGAAGTGAAAAGACAACTCATAAAATGGGAGACAGTGTTTGCAATCTGGCAAGAGACTTATGTCCAGAATATATATGAACTCCTACACCTCAATAATAAAAAGATTAGGCCGGGCGTGGTGGCTCACACCTATAATCCCAGCACTTTGGGAGGTTGAGGCGTGTGGATCATCTGAGGTCAGCCTGGTCAATATGGGAAAACCCCATCTCCACTAAAAATACAAAAATTAGCCAGGCATGGTGGCAGGTGCCTGTAATCCCAGCTACTTGGGGGAGGCTGAGGCATGAGAATTGTTTGAACCCAGGGGGCGGAGGTTACATGAACCAAGATCACACCACTGCACTCCAGCCTGGGGGACAGAGTGAGACTCTGTCTCCATAATAATAATAATAATAATAATAAAATGATTAATTGCCCAATTAAAAAATAGAAAAATGATATTCATAGATATTTCTCCAAGGAAGATACACAAATGGTCAATAAGTACATGAAAAGATGCTCAACGTTATTAGTCATCAGAGAAATGCAAATGAAAGCTACAATGAGATACCACTTCACACCCACTAAGATAGCTAAAAACAAAAATTCAGATAACAAATGTTGACAAGGGTGTGGAGAAATTGGAATCCTCCTGTGCTGCTAGTGGAAATGTAAAATGATGCAGCCACTTTGGAAAATAGTCTGTTTTTCAAGCAGTTAAACAAGGAGTAACCATATGGTCCAGCAATTCTACTTCTAGGTATATACTCAAGAGAAGTGAAAGCATTTGCCCACACAAAATTTTGTATGCAAATGATTATAGCAGTATTATTTATAATAGAAAAAAAGGTGGAAACAACTCAAATGTCCATCAACTGATGAATGGATTAAGAAAATGAGGCATATCTACATAGTGGAATATGTTATGGCCATAAAAAAGAATGCAGTACAGGCCAGACGCAGTGGCTCATGCCTGTAATCCCAGCACTTTGGGAGGCTGAGGTGGGAGGATCACCTGGGGTCAGGAGTTCAAGACCAGCCAGGCCAACATGATGAAATCCCGTTTCTACTAAAAATACAAAAATTAGCTAGGCATGGTGGTCAGTACCTGTAATTCCAGCTACTCGAGAGGCTGAGGCAGGAGAATCACTTGAACCCGGGAGGCAGAGGTTGCAGTGAGCTGAGATCATGTCACTGCCTTTCAGTCTGGGTGACAGAGTGAAATTCCATCTCAAAAAATAATAATAATAATAATGAAGTACAATACATGCTACAACGTGGATGAAGCTTGAAAACATTATGCTAAGTGGAAGAAGCCAGTCATAAAAGATCACACATTATATGATTCAATTTATGTGAAATGTTCTTAACAGGAAAATCTATAAAGACAGAAGGTAGATTCGTGGCTGCCTAGGGGTGGAAAAAATGGCGGTATAGAAAAGGGACATAGCTAAAGGGTATGTGGCTGCTTTCAGAGGTGATGAAAAATGTTCTAAAATTGTGGTGATGGTTCCACATGTCTATGAAAATACTAAAAACCATTGAATTGTACATTTTAAATGGATAAAGTGTATGTTATGTGAATTATTTCTCCATAAAGCATTAAAAATGAGTGAAAAAATCTTATTCTTTAAACACAAGGAAAGAAACAATCCCGGTGATACATTGTAGGCGACGGTTTATAAATGAGACTTTGGCAGAAGGCAGGGGCTTCTCACTTGTTTTTGCATGGTTCCTTTCATGGCTACAAAGTTATGAATCGTTAGTGGGTACTCATTGCCCTGAAGGAGAGAATCTGCTCTGAAAACACTGACTCATTCAAAACCAAACCACTTCAGATCTTAAAAAAATGAAAACTAAAATGAAGCCCAAAGCAAACTGAGTATTTTAATTAATTTAAAATGTTGGAGGCTTTCTTTTTTTAAAGAAATCTCCTTTGCCATTTTTCTCCAATACGTAGAAATAAGAATGCATGTTTTACATGTTCTAATACATTTTTTAGTAGAACAATAATTTAATCTAATTAAATGTCCAAAGAGAATTTTCTAGATGTTGACTTAAGTTGGCTGCTCTGCCTTAGGAAGTTCCTGCTGATGGGAGTAGTAGAGAAGTAATTAAGAGCACCATGGACTTAAGCTTCTTTCCTGTCTCTGTCAAAATAAGTGATAAAAGATGCTCTGAGCCGGGTGTGGTGGAGCTCACGCCTGTAATCCCAACACTTTGGAAGGCAAGGTGGGCAGATCACTTGAGGTCAGCAGTTCGAGACCAGCCTGGCTAACATGGTGAAACCCCGTCTCTACTAAAAATACAAAAATTAGCCGGGTATGGTGGTGGGCGCCTGTAATCCCAGCTACTCGGGAGGCTGAGGCAGGAGAATCGCTTAAACCTAGGGAGGTTGCAGTGAGCTGAAATCATGCCACTGCACTCCAGTCTGGGTGACAGAGCGAGACTCCATCTCAAAAAAAAAAAAAAAAAGATGCTCTGAACTTCCCTTTTTTTTTCTCTAAAATGGGTATAATTATAGTTTGGTCCTCATGAAGTTATAAAAAACATTAATTGAAATAATAAAATGGACATTTAATACACAGTAATCACTCTAAATGTTTGCCATTGTTATTTTAAATTAGGCGTTCATCTCTTGGCCTAATTACACATATTGTTGGAGAATGTGTATACAATCTAGTGATTCACTCTGGCCTTTTTTAAGCACCACAGCAGATTTACCACTGACATACAGGTTTACACCACAGAAAATTTGCTTCATTTGTAATTGCAGCCAATGTGTCTCCCTGATGGGCAGAAAGCCAACTGGATCCATATACTCCCTTGATCCAGAACTTTACATTTCACATTGTCTGGATGTGACTTACATCATAATTGCTCAAACTATATTTTGTTATGTGTGAAAAATAAATGTCTTCCTTATGTCCTCAGTAATAGAAAATCATTAAACATCTTGCAGCTGCTTAATCTTTTAGTCAAGATATTTAGTATGGAAAACTAGAGTAATGGAGGCTTTCTCCTTTCAACTCTTTACTCTTAGCCAGTATCATTCTTTTTTAAAAAATAAACATTTTCCTAAGGCATTGAGCATCTTTTCTGTAGGCTATAGTTGAGTCTTTCAAATCTGGAAAATAAGAATTTGAAGATGGATACAAACCTTGGCACTGATGATAGGTGATTTACAAGTCTGTCTTGCTCTCATGTGCAGAGCTTGGCTGTACAATGCAAATCTTGTCAAAAATCTGTTCAATGATTAGATTTATTAAGCACTCTGCAATGTCCTATCTGTTTTAGAGAACTCACTAAAGAATGTCACTGACCTCCTGGAGATTATAATCCTCTAAATCAAAAACAAAAACCATCAGCTCATTTTCTTTTGCTACTTTCTCATTGTAGTGGAGATATCTGAGTTTCATGGGAAGCGTACCATAGGGTAAGAAGCAGAATGCAGAAAATAAGCCTTTTAGGTTAGAACGAAGAATTATTTGTCATCTGCCTTATGTAGAAATCCTACTTTCTAGCATAATTACATGGTTATGTCACAGTTGAGACAAAATAAGGAGATTGTTAGTTTTCCACAAAACAAGGTAATGTCTTTGATAGCAGTCACATTGAAGAGATCCGCATTCAGTTACAGCTAGTGGTCAAAAAACCTTTCTTAACAACTTTTGTTAGGTAAAAAAGTGCTTTCATGTTACCGAACACTAAAAATTGTTTTGTAAGATATAACAGACATTACTTGAGCTCTAATTGCTCCTTCTAGCCAGTGTGTGAACATAGCCTCATATAACTCCAACTCTACCCAAGCATAGTTGTATTTTATCCATGCAGAGTTCAAACAAAGGTGCTTAATTTTTTTATGACATCAATTATCTATAGAGAATAGAGATTGCACAAACATTTCCCTTTAAAAATTTGATATATGGTTAAGATATACACAGTTTCATAGAATCAACAAAACAATGTACCAAAATTCTATAGTAAGGCCACCAGTATATCAAAAAAAATTAATAACAGTTTCTTTTCCCTTAATGTATTTTATATTCAAGTAAAAACTCAGTGGATATAAGAAGGCAAGAACAAAAGTTGAATATGCATATTTGTTACAATGAGTGTTCTAAACACAGATGATAGAGCCAGGGCATCACAAGCCTTAAGTAACTTCTTTCTTCTCTTTTTGTATCTATTATACTTTCATTTTACAAAATCAGTATCATGCTTATCTACAATTTTGAATTCTCTCTTTCATTCAAATTTTCGTTGTAACTTGGCCTTTCTCTCATGTTATTAAGTATCCTCTGAAAACACTTTAGTGGCTACTTGATATTTTATGAATGCATCATTGTTTATTTATCCACTCCCTATTTTTAGAAATTTTGTTGTTCCTATTTTGGGCTACTATAAAAACAGTGCAATGAACATCTTTGTACTTACATTTTTAACAACTTCATTGATGTATAATTGACATACAATCAACTGCACATAAAATATCTAACTTGACAAGTTTTCACACATGTATACTGCCCACAAGGCTAACACTACAATCACAATAATGAACATATCTAACATCCCAAAAAGTTCTCTCATGTCCCTAACAGTCCCTCCTTGCTTTTCACCCTCATCTCTAGGAAATCATTAACTGCTTTTTACCACTATAGATTAGTTTTAATTTTTTATAATTTTACATAATGGAATCATATAATATGTACTCTTTTGTCTAGTTTTTTCACTCAGCATAATTACTTTAAGATTCATGCATGTTGTTTTATGTATCAATAGTTACTCCTTTTTATTGCTGAACACTATTCCATTGCATGGATATACCAAAATGTGTTTATTCATTCACCTGTTGACAAGCATTTGTGTTTTTCTGTTTTTTTGCTATTACAAATAAAGTTCCTATAAACATTCATCTGTAAGTCTTTGTATATACATGAGGTTTTTTTTTTTTTGTATACAATTGAGTTTACACTTTGTTCTTGTATCCTGCTTTTATTTCTCTGGGGAAGATAAGTACGAGTGGAATGGCTGGGTCATGTGAGAGTTGTATGACTTTTTAAGAAATGAATCAGCAGTATATGAGCATTCCAGTTGCTCAACATGCTAACCAGCACTTGTTATGATCAGTCTTTAAATTTAGGCATTCTAAATAGAGTGTGGTAATATCATATTGTGTTTTTAATTTGCATTTTACTAATGATTATAAGCAAACTGTCATGTCCTTATTTGCCATCTGTATTTATCTTTGGTGATGTGGCTGTCCAAATCTGTTTCCCTTTTTTAAAAAATTGAATGGGTTTGTATGATAGAGTTGTGGGAGTTCTTTATATATTCTCAATACAGGTTCTTAACAGGTAAGTGATGAGCAAATATTCTCTCCCAATCTGTGCTTGAATTTTCAGTCTCTGAACAGTGCTTTCTAAATAGCAGATATTCTTAATTTTGGTGAAGTCCAACATACCAAGTTTTGTTGTGTGGAGGGTATTTTTGGTGTCAAACCTGAGAAATCTTTGCCTAACTCAAGTTCATAAAGGATTTCTCCCATGTTTTCTTTTAGAAATTTTTTAGCCCTTTGTTTTACATTTTGGTCAATGATTCATTTTGTGTTAATTTTCTTACACTGCCCAAGGTATGGAGAGTCATTTTTTGTTTGTGTATTGATTGCAAATTGTTCCATTACCATTTGTTGAAAAAACTGCCCTTTCTCTAGTAAATTCCCTTTGTACCCCTGCAAAAATCAATTGACCATATATGTGTGGAGATCCAGACTTTCTGGTCTTGCTATTCTGTTCTATTGATTTATTTGCCTATCTGATGGCAATACCGTACTATTTTGACTACTGTTGCTTTTTAATACGTCTTAATATCAGGTGGTATTAGCCCTCCACTTTTGTTCTTTTGCATTTCTTGACTACTTTAGGTCTTTTGAATTTTCGTATGAAGTTTATGATTAGCTTGTCGATTTTGACAAGAGGTCTGCTGGGTACATGATTGAGATTGTGTTCAATCTATACATCAATTTGAGGATAATAGACATCTTAATAGTACTGAATCTTCTGAACCATAAACGTGGTATATCTTTACACTTATTTAGATCTTTAACTTTTCTAAGCAGTGTTTTGTAGTTTTCAGTGTACAAGCCTTGGACAGCTTTTGTCAGATTCGTTCCTAAGTATTTTGTATTTTGATGCTATTATAAAGGGAATTATGTTTTTAATTTTAATTTCTGATTGTTCACTGCCAGTGCATAGAAATACAATTGAGTTTACATTTTGTTCTTGTATCCCACAATTTTGCTTAACTCATTTACTAGTTCAAATCGTTTTTTAAAATGTTTCATAGGATTTTCTACATATAAAGATATCTAGAAATAAACTCAATTTTATTTCTTCCTTTCCAATCATTTCAAAAATTTCTTTCAAAAATCACATTTTTTTCTTATTGCATTGCTTGATACTCTAGTATAATGTTCAATAGAAGTGGTAAGAGTGAACTGTCTTGCCTTGTCAATCTTACAAAGAAAACATTCAGTCTGCCTTTCGTCATTAGGTATGATGATAACTGTAAGGCTTTTCTGTAAAGAAAAAAAATTTTTTTTCAGGTTGAGGACTTTCCCGTCTATTCCTAGCTTAATGTGAGTTTTTATAAGGAATGCATGTAGGATTTTGCCAAATGCTTTCTTTGTATCTATTGAGATGATCACATGTTTTTCATTTTAGTCTGTTAATATGAATTATATTGATGGTTTTCTATTGTTAAAACTACCTTGTATTCCTGGAGTAAACCCACTTGTTATGAACTATTATCCTATTTATGTAATGTCACATGCAATTTGCTAAACTTTTGTTAAGCACTTCTGCATTAAGTTTCATGAGGGATATTGGTGTGTACATTTCTTTTCTTACAACATCTTTGGTTTTGGTATCAACATAACGCTGGCCTGCTATGAGTTGGGAAGTATTTATTCCCCAGTAATTCCTCTGCAAACTTTTGTAAAATTAGTATTATTTCTTCCTTAAATATTTGGTCAGATTTACCAAAGAAGCCATCTGAGCCTGGAATTTTCTTTGTGGAAAAGTTTTAATTTCAATTTCAAATTATTTAATTGATATAGAATTATTTAGGTTGTTTATTTCTTCTTAAATTAGCTTTCATAGTCTGTGTCTTTCAAGGAATTCATCTATGTCATCTAAGTTGTCAAATTTATTTGCATAAAATTCTTCATAATATTCCCTAATTATTCTTTTTACACTCTGTTGAGTCCATAGTGCTGTTAGCTTTTCCATTCCTGATGTTGGTCACTTGTTTCTTCTCTCACTCTTCTTTTTCGTTGTTTTGGCTAGAGGTTTATTCAATGTAGTTGATTTTTCTCAAAGAATCTGTTTTTTGTTTCATTTATTTTCTCTGTTGTTTTTCAGTTTTCTGTTTCACGCATACTCACTCTGATCTTTATTATTTCATTTCTTCTGCTGATTTGGGGTTATATTTGCTCTTTATTTTCTAATACTTGAGGTGGAAGCTAAAGTCATTGACTTCAGATCCTTCTTCTTTTTGAATGTAGTCATTTTAGCACTATAAACTGTCCTTTATGAACTGCATCAGCTGCATCCCATAAATTTTGATACACATTTACATTCAGACTGAAATATTTTATAATATTTTGTTTACATTTACATACAGATTGAAATCTTTTATAATTTCCGTTTGATTTCTTCTATTACCCAGGGGATGTTTAGAGTGTGTTATTTAGTTTCCAAATACTTGAGAACTTTCTAGCTATCTTTCTGTTTTTTATTTCTTTTTTTTTTTTTTTTTGAGAAGAAGTCTCGCTTTGTAGCCCAGGCTGGAGTGCAGCAGTACGATCTTGGCTCAGTGCAACCTCTGCCTCCCAGGTTCAAGCGATTCTCCTGCCTCACCCTCCCGAGTAGCTGGGACTACAGGCATGTGCCACCCGGTTAATTTTTTGTATTTTTTAGTAGAAACAGGGTCTCACCGTGTTAGCCAGGATGGTCTCGATCTCCTGACCTCGTGATCTGCCCACCTAGACCTCCCAAAGTGCTAGGATTACAGGTGTGAGCCACCACACCCGGCCTCTGCTTTTTATTTCTAATTTAATTCGATTTTGGTAAAATAGTATACTTTATAAAACTTAAATTCTTTAACATTTATTTAGATATGTTTTATGGCTTAGAATGTTGCCTATCATGGTAAATGTTCCATGTGTATCTGAAAGGAATGGGAATTCTGCTGTTGTTGGATGGAGTGTTCCATAAGTTCCAGTCAGGTCAAATTGATTGATAGTGTTGTTCAAGTCTTCGATATACTCACTGATTTCCTGTCTATATGTTTCAACTGTTGAGAGTGCACATTCATTTTTGCATTATGATACCGCTTTATGCTTCATTACAGTTTTGTAGGAGAACAGTGCTGTCATGTCTTCTGATAGATCTTGGAATCATTGATGCATGGTTGCATCCTTCATTAATAAAGCAACACAAAAACAATACTTAGAAAAGTTATTCTGTAAATTTAGATCTGTAAATAAAAAAA
This sequence comes from Homo sapiens, assembly GCF_000001405.40. Classification (NCBI taxonomy): domain Eukaryota; kingdom Metazoa; phylum Chordata; class Mammalia; order Primates; family Hominidae; genus Homo; species Homo sapiens. The sequence goes on from NC_000012.12 coordinate 47,128,122, forward strand.
CGAAATTGTTGGCTGATTATGCCAATTTGAGTCAGGTCAAATTTATGAAATAATATAGTGGTATGAGCACTGTGGTTCAAGGGCTGATTATGGCAATTTGGTGATTTCAACTTAACTTTTTTTTTCAGTTGTAGAAATGATTCCTCAAATAAAATTTTACTAGGAACTTAAATACATACAACAGATAAAAGTGTCTTATCTATTTAAAAGTGTTTGAGGAACAAAAAATGGAGAAGGCACCTTCTTTATCTAGACTCCAACTCTTCAGCCTCACTCTGGGCCGCCTTACTCTTCCCTTAGAGGTAACCCATGAGGTACCTCAGCTGAAGTGTTAAGGTGTCATGGAGAGCGCTGAAAACCAGAGATCTACCCAAATATTCTGCTAAGCAAGAAAAGAAAGATCCCATTGCAAATATTTACTGAAGTAAAATGGTAAACAGATTTCAACTCTTGTATCAATAATATAGATTGGCAAGCTGTCTAGAGAACAGTTTGAAAAAAATGTCTGAAGTTGATTTCTGTCTCAGCAGTAAAATAAAAGAACATGTTTAATTATTGATGTCTGCAAAGGATGCAGGTGTGGTAACTGGAAGAGGAACTGTCATGCATTTGAGATTCCTAGTCTTGAGATACAGACAAATCTGATGTTCAAAGCTGGCTTTACATGATATCTTCTGAGTTGAATTATATGTTTGGAAAATTAGACAAACCATGCAATGGGGTTAGTGAGGCTTTTCTGCACAGAAAACAACAGGGAATGCTTAGCAAGGTAGAGGTTTTTATAAGGACACTTGGGAAAGTGCGGAAGTGCAGAAAGCCATCTCTGAATTTCCTTCAAATAGTCCTGGGTGGTCTGGCAAAGAAACTGGGAAGCTGGCATCCACAGCTCCTTTCTCCATCTCTGCTATCATTAAAACTCAGCTGCTCTCTTCTTTCCTTTCATTGTTCCTGCCTTAACAAACTAATTCAAATTCTCTTTGCCTACCAGCCTTCTGCTTTCTGCCTTCCTTTGGTACTCTATTTCCCTGCCATATTCCTATCTGTACATCTCAAGTTAAAATTCCCTTAAGGGAGGGCACAGTGGCTAACACCTGTAATCCCAACACTTTGGGAGGCTGAGGCAGGTGGATCTCTTGAGCTCAGGAGTTTGAGATCAACCTGGGCAACATGGTGAAACCCTGTCTCCATGAAAAATATAAAAATTAGCCAGGTGTGGTGGCTTGAGCCTGTGGTCTTAGCTACCTGTGGTTCCAGCTACTTAAGAGGCTGAGGTAGGAGGATCGCTTGAGCTCAGGAGGCAGAGGTTGCAGTGAGCCATAATCACACCACTGTACTCCAGCCTGGGTGGCAGAGCGAGACCCTGTCTCAAAATAAAATAAAATAATAAAATTTTAAAAATATTCCCCACAGAGAGTAATAGGTCAACCCTTCAGAATGGCATGCCCCTCTTATCCTAGTCCTAGCCAATTAAAAAAAAAATTTTTTTAAAGAAAAAAAAGAGTGGCATGCCCCCTTGGGTGGGATTCTCATGCCAGGTTATATAAATACCACTGGGCAGTCTAAAGAGAGCTCCTGAAATCAGATGCCCATTCCTAGTCCAATCACCTGTGACTATAGTGGCGGAATCACAAGGTACAAAGGATGGAGAGGAGACCATGCGTCTGGCAGGAACTCCGAGGGACCCCAGTGGGGAGTGGTGTGCCTAGTAGGCATCTGTCCATTACAACCATCAATAGTGTAGTGTACACACTGATTGGACTTGCATGGCTTCAAATGAAGAAAAATTTTCTTATAATGAGCAAAAGCAGTGGTTTTCAAACTGTGCTTGGCAAAATGTCTTGAGTTCTGCCCAAAGAAGAGACTTAGTAGGTAAGACTCTGACTTCCTTGTTCCCTTTTCATCTAGAGCACTTTCATATTATTCAGTTTCATATATGGGTTTTTTAAAAATAAAATTTCACTTGAAGTTAACATGCTACTGTTCAAAAGTAGTTTGAGAGCCATTGAGTTGTAGGAACACAAAAAACTTTTGTTTGGCTAATTTTTTTAAGTGGTAAGGCTTTATTTTAAAAGGTTAGTAGTTAATACACACAATAAAATAAAAAGTCACTTAATATATTTTACACAATTTTTTGTAAAACAAAAAAAGGGTAGGGTAGATAGGAAAATTGAAATTGGTTATTTCACAACATTATATTCTTAATCACAATTGTTTTTGTGTCTTGGATGTTATTAATGAAAATTGTTTAATTGTGATTTTCACTATATGTTTGAGGCTAAATGTGGTGGCTCACACCTGTAATCCCACCACTTTGAGAGGCCAAAGTAAGAGGATCACTTAAGGTTAGGAGTTTGAGACCAGCCTGGGCAACATAGTGAAATCCCATCCCTACAAAAATAAAATAAAATAATTTTACAATTAGCCAGATGTGTTGGTGCACATCTGTAGTCCCAGCTACTTAGGAGGCTAAGGCAGGAGGATTGCTTGAGCTCAGGAATTCAAGGCTGCAGTGAGCTGTGATTATGCTACCCTACTCCAACCTGGATAACAAAGTAAGATCCTGCCTCTAGAAAATAAAACAGAAAAATTTCATGTCTTTATCAGAACAATTAACTTTAGCATTAAAGAAAAAAAAGAAAAGAAGTGTGTGGTCAGTAGGATGAACATTTTTATAGCAATGATCAGATTATACATTCTTAAGGGTTAAGATACATGTTATTAGTGCTGTTATGTTTTGTTTTGTTTACAGATACAGATTATTATTCTCACATCAGAGTAAAAGTTATATTAATCAGCTATTTACAATTAACGAAGATGATTGAGATGTGTCAAGCAATTACATACATTACTTAAATGTTAAGTCAGTGCATACTTGTATTTTAATATAATAATCATATTCAGTATGTTCAGTCATCCGCCAAAAACAGTTTTTAAAAACTGAAGATATCTCGATCATATTTATGAATTTGAGTTACTTTTATAATTGAGAAAACATATCCTTATTCTATCACTTGAGGCATTCCAATATCTATCACTTACTTAAAAGGTGATTCATCCAATAAAAATGTCAAGCCATTGTCACTTGCTGGCATAGAAAATAAAACTATCTGAAACTCCTAGGCATTCCACTCCTTAGGCTAAGGAAAGATACTTCACCCGCCCACTCCAATCCTTGACCTCAGAATGCCCCCAAAACGCCCTCCTTAATCAATACAAGAACCTTTGCCTCCTCTCAGAAACTCAGTGTATCTATGGCTTAAGCAGAAAATTATTCAATTCGTTCTATTTTCATAGAAAACTTGTTAGGATAAATGTGTAAAAAGTTGCAGCTCCTCATCTGGCAGAGCATCCAGGTGTGTACACCATTGTCCTTCATCAGTAGTGGCTGGAATTGTTCCAGATAATTCTCACTGTTGACACCACAGAGCACAAAATGGAAAGGGGAGAAAGGTTGGAAGGAGCAACATGGGTAGGAAAGGGTTTTCTCCATGGATCATTTCCAGTTTTATCCTGCATCTTGATTGTGCTGACACTATTGTCATGTTTTACTTCTTTTTTTTTTTTTTGAGAAGGAGTCTCACTCTGCTGCCAGGCTGTAGTGCAGTGGCGCAATCTCGTCTCACTGCAACCTTCGACTCCCTGGTTCAAGCAATTCCCCTGCCTCAGCCTCCCGAGTAGCTGGGATTACAGGCATGCGCCACCACATCCGGCTAATTTTTGTATTTTTAGTAGAGATGGGGTTTCACCATGTTGGCCAGGGTGGTCTTGATCTCCTGACCTCGTGATCCGCCCACCTCCACCTCCCAAAGTGCTGGGATTACAGGCGTGAGCCACCGTGCCCAGCCTGTCATGTTTTACTTCTATTTAGTTATACTTACATAAAAAATAGGGAAGTTGAAGTGAAAGGCAGATGACCTGGCCAGTAATGAACTTTGCGTGGAAAGTCATTAGCATCGAGTGGAAACATTGTGATTTTCCCAGTGCTTTTTGTTTTTTAAAAAAACACTAACTGGCTGCCAGTAGTCATGTTAATACATAGTAAATTACCTGTCCCTTTTTGTGAACTCTCTCATTTGCATGTGAGCTTCTTCTAAACAAGTCAGTTGAGATAGAGCTTTGATTTACTGAAGTGGGTGTACATAAACACAGTTATGGGGAAAAGTAATAGCACCACAAAACCATTATATTGATTAATTTTTATTTCCATGTGTACTTAAGCTTGGCAATCTGGAGCTTTGATCTAGTATATCCAAATTAAAAGTAAGGTTCTAATAAAATTTTTTCCTCTGCAACAAATACCCCTGTGTAAATGGCCCAATACTATGGGGGAATTAAACGGCTTGCACTTGGGTTTATAATTGAAAGTTTGAATGCAGTCTTTACATTATCAGGAAAGCAATCCATCTCACCCAGGATGGTTTATTTGAAGTCATCAGGCTGAGGAATGGGCTCCATCTGACAGTGAAGTCAGTTTAGCCATTGTACTATGTGTAAGTCAATTTCCAGACAACCCTAACTAAACACAACCCTACCCAAATGCCCCAGAACCTGTGTTGTCAGTTAGAAGGAAAACTGGAGGGATACTATATATGTGACTCAGCCCAAGTGCAGCACTGGTACTGCAGTAAAACCTAAGCCATGAGCTTCTGAGGCAGGAGAGTAATGTCCCCTAAATATCAGCATTGCTGTGAAAGGAGAACCAAAATCTAACTGGTACAAATATCTAGCCAATGTCTGTGGAATTTTTGAAAGTTAAGAGTCTTTTTGTTAAAGATTATCATTCAAAATACAGTACATTCAAGGGGGGAAATGGTGATAATGGTGATCTCATAACACTGATACATAGTTCAATATACTATTCTACTTTAATATGCTTAACATTTTTCATATGTAAAGCTTCAAAATACAATATATAAGATAATTTTCCCCTGTTTCTTACAAAGGGGACTGTATTTTCTTTACATGTAGTTCCATAAAATGATGCAAAGTTAATTTAAATCATGAAAACAAACATTATTTCCTGACCCTTTATTTTCATATATTTGTAAATTTGTGCAAAACAATTTGGAATTCAACCCTTGATAAGCTAAATTAAAAGAGACAACATGATGTCTGCAAACACATTTTCCAAGTATTTCAAGGTCCATGATTTCTGTGGTAGGGATTGTACTCAGAGACTAAAGATAATTCTGTCCCTATCCTAGAAGGATTTGATGTGATGGATCCTCTGATGTGGCATCCCTTGTCCAGGGCCCTGAAAAAACAGAAATAAAATCGATACATGTTTGGACCAAAAGTAGGCATGTAATGTTCAGGTCAGCAATAATGATTTCGGTTTAATTATAGGAGTGGAGCAAGGTAGGGATGGGGGGTACATCATGCCCGTGAGACTTGAAAGAATGACTGTGTGAGATGTGGGTTCAAGCCTGATAATCTCATACTCACTGAAACCTGCTCAGAGTTTGCACTAATAAAATCCTGGTGTGCATTAAATAAGCCACAGCTCAAACTGTGTTTAATATCACAGTATGAGCAAAAATTATACCCAGATATATTACTTGTCAGGGCAAGGGAAAGAAGGGAATCCTAGTGATGACTTTTAAAATACTATTTCCAGCAACCAAGGTCCTTGTTATGGACTGAATGTTTCTGTCCCCTAAAAAGTTTATATATTGAAATCCTAACCCCTGATACGATGGTATTATGAAGTGGAACCTTTAGGAGGTGATTTAGGCTCTAGCCTCATGAATGGGATTAGTGCCCTTATAAAGGAGACTCCAGGGAGCTCTCTCCCTCTCTTTCTGCCATGTGAGGATACGAGAAGATGGCAGGTTGCAACCTAGAAGAAAACCCTCACTAGAACCCAACAATGCTGGCGTCTGATTTTGGGCTTCCGGAACTGTAATAAATGAATTTCTGTTGTTTATAAGCCACCCAGTCTATGGCACTTTGTTAAAGTGGCCCAAATGAACTAAGATAGTCCCTGACTGTATTATGATGTGAATAATCAATCCAGATGTAACAGCATCTTCAGATGCCCGAGGGTACATTCCATGACATCATGGGCATTTTGTGTCACACTCAGAGAATGAAAAGGAGATTTGGAAAGTGCAAGGCCTTTACGAAATTAGTACAGGAGATTTCAAAATTTACTTTGTAGATATAGTTGTGTGTTTGTTTTCCCTTATCAACATGAAACTTTTTCCTTTCTTCTTTTCTTCCTTTTGTCCTTCCTTCCTTTCTTCCTTCAATTATTTTTCTTCAATTCAGTGAAATACAGAGAAGATATCCCTTATTAATATTTAAAACAAACAAACACAAAATACATGTATCTGGCTAGAAAATATTAACTTTAAACAGGGCAAGAACATACAAAACAGAAATTCAAGCTACCTCTCCCCACCTGCATTGACCCCTTCCATCTAATCTTTCACCTCAAAGAAAATTGCTATTTAACAAAGTCTTAGGTCTGGTGCAGTGGCTCATGCCTGTAATCCCAGCACTTTGGGAGGCTGAGGAAGGCGGATCACGAGGTCAACAGATCGAGACCATCCTGGCCAACAAGGTGAAACCCCATCTCTACTAAAAATACAAAAATTAGCTGGGCGTGGTGGCGGGCGCCTGTAGTCCCAGCTACTCGGGAAGCTGAGGCAGGAGAATTGCTTGAACCCCAGAGGCAGAGCTTGCAGTGAGCTGAGATTGTGCCACTGCACTACAGCCTGGTGACAGAGTGAGACTCTATCTCAAAAAGATATATACATGCATATACATGTTTTCACATATATTTTCAATCTATTTTTCTTCTTTCCTAATCCACAGAACAGAGCTCACACTATATATACCCCTTCACTCATTTTTTAACTTATTACCAAATATTGAGAATCATTTCATATACATACATTACAGTATCTTTTAGGAACCAGTATTTGCACCGATGGATTTAACTTTATTTCACCAATCTCTACTGATAGGAATTGGTCATTTAGTTTGTTGCCATTACAAATAATGCTTTAATTAATGAGTTTGGTGTCCATGTCCATAGATCTAGGTGAACTTCCATCACTATATTCCTATAGTAAATTTCATACAATGGGCTTGCTCCTTCAAAGGATATATGCAATTAAGATTTTTATTCAAAGTACCAGCTAATATGTTAAAGAAAGTTAATTTTTTTATTTTTATTTTTATTTTTATTTTTTTGCACCACGAACACATGCACTTTATTGAATGACATTGTAGAAAAGTGTGTGAGGATAAAGGGCTGATACAGGACTCAGCTTTGGGGGCAGGGCAAGGAATGGAAGGCGGAGTGCATGGGAGACAGGTTGTGGGCAGAGCTCCTGGCCCGGATGCTGTCTCCTGTTCTATCGAGAGACTTGGAAGATCAGCACTGAGATGATGATGAGCAGAATGGTCAGGAGGATGCCCAGAGCCAGGGCCCAGATGTTCAGGCACTTGGCAGTGGAGACACAGGCCTGGGCCCCAGTCAGGTCACCAACCATCTTCCTGTCCATAGACTTCCTGTCCTAGACTTCACAGAGTAGATGAATGCTATGAAGTCCGGGCAGCAGGAATTCTTGAAGAGGGTGTTGAATAGGGACCAGACGACATGGTCGGGCACGGAGGTCTCACTGCAGATGTGGATCATGGTGAACGCTGGAGGCACAGGGTTGTGGGGTGCCCCCAGCACAGCCACCTCATGCTTCTCCTTGAGCATCTCATGGTTGGTGGAGCGGCCGGTGTTGGCAGGAGTGAAGAGGGTTTGGACAGTGTGGTTCATGGTCTCCAGGGAGAACCAGCTGTGGTTGGGTTGCTGGGATGGTTCTCCAAAAAAAAAAAAAGATTTTTATAGATAAGAACAAGTTACTCTCCAGGAGAGCATTCAAAGTTACACTTCCACCAAAAGGGTACAGTAGCCTTTTTTCCTCCATACTTTCACCAGTACTCACCATTCAATTTCTTTCTTTTTTTTTTTTTTTGGCCAATTTGATAGATATATCATGTTTTGGTATTCATTTCCTTTATTATAATCATCTTTCACATACTTCTTGCCCATTTGTACTTTTGCTCTGTAAGATGCATGATCTTATCTTTTGCCCATTTTTCTATTGATTTGCTCACCTTTCAATTCATTTGAATGAGCGCTTTGTAAATCAAGAAAATTAGCCTGTCCACCTGTCAAAAGTTTCTAATGATTGAAATAAATTATTTTCTTCCCTTTATCTTAACAGATAGACTTCTTAAGCCCTCTTATGCAAAGAATTTCAGGCTGATTTCACTTTAAAATGAGATATAGGTGATAACAAAAGCCAAATTGTCACCTACTTTAAAGGATAAGTGAATAATAAGAAGGCAGCATGATGTACCCAAGGGAAATTTGAGTGATCTTAGCTGGGAAAGAAACCAAATATTCATGCCTTTATGCACTGCACAAAACTTGCACACCAGAACTTTAAAAGATGACTCTTTGAAAGTAGTTCTTCAGTGTCTTTCATACTCCTTAATCTTCCCAATTTTAAGTAACACTGTTGACAAACTTTAATTTCCATTTTAATAATCTTAGCATCATTATGAGATAGTATTAGGCAAATATTTAAGTATAAACGATATCTACAAACTTTAATTTCCATTTTAATAATCTTAGCATCATTATGAGATAGTATTAGGCAAATTTTTAAGTATAAACGATATCTACATATACTAGAAGACAAGTCATAGTTCAAGAGAAGCATGATATAAAAAGGCCATTATGATGAGAGTCAGTGGACTTGGATTCTAGATGTGCCACCGTCACTCCTTTGCCACGTAACCTTGGGTAACTCCCTCAGTTTCTGTGGTTCTGTTTTCTCATCTATAAAATGAAAATAATAATAACTTTTCTTCCTAGCCAATACCTTGTTTTGCTAATTAAAAGAACTCATGAAGTATTTTGCAAACTATGCAACACTCTCGATTACTGTAATTGTTGGGAAGTAACATATCTGTAGACTACTTTCAGCAATGTCTTATTGCCATTCTCCAGGTTGTGAAAGGTTCTGGTACTGATTACAAAATCTATTTTGAAAATTTCCCATGATATGAATATAAACAAAGTCTTAATTTCATTTTTTATTTCCTTCACATTTAAACAATTAATGGCATATTTTGATTAAACATGCTAGCTTCTTATTTGATCATGTCCAAAATATGTCTTCAAATATAGATGTGATTAGAGTGGAATCATCAACAAATCCAAGGCAATCCTTTGCAAAAATAATTTATCTGTTATTGGAGACAAAATATTTAAGCTATATAATGTAAGACCTAAAAGAATGCTATTAGATTCTTGTATACGTTTTTCTAAGATGTTTCTATCCTAATTTCTAAACATTTAGGGAAAGCTATTCTGTCTTTCAAAAAAGGAATCATTTCAGCCTGGGCAGCATGGCAAAACCCCATCTCTACGACAAACACAAAAATTAGCTGGGCACGGTGGTGCACTCCTGTAGTCTCAGCTACTTGGGAAGCTGAGGTAGGAGGATCACTTGAGCCTGGAGGTTGAGGCTGCATTGAGCTGAAATCATGCCACTGCACTCCAGCCTGGGTGACAGGGTGAGTGAGGCCCTGTCTAAAAAAAAAAAAAGAAAAAAAGAAAAAAAAAAACAACCCAAAAAACAAAAAACAAACAAAAAAGATATAATTTAAATACTTAAAGTTTACAAGGCTTAGGTAGTCCCAAAATCTACATCGCTTCCAGAGATGTTTACATTGAAGCTAAGAGGTGTGAGCCATTTTAGGGATTTGAAACTTTATTCAGAATAACTTCTTGTCATTGAAAAGGACATTATTAGTTAAGTGCAAATGGTCAATATTTTTGAAATTGCCTATGAACAGTTCGAATTATCTGAGAAGCAGACCTCATTCTGGAGTTTCACATAGCATACAAACCCACATTACTGTTTCTTAAAAAAATTTTCTTAAAAAGATGATGAGTTGGGATAATTGTACCAGACATGGTAAACAGAACATACTGTTCAATAGGTAGCAATGCCTCCAAAACATGTCTGTTCTTTCCTCTTTCACACACGCATGCATACAAACACACGTACACATACTCAGATATTTCCATTTGGTGCCTGCTTCCTGGGTAGAACCTCAAACATGGGAAGACAAAGGGAGTTTCTGAGATGCTGGTAGGTTATTTTCTTAGGAGCCATTGCTTCTTGGCTCAGATCAGATCAGATCTGCCCTTCTTAGCCTTTGTATTGCTTGGCCTCTTCTCATGATGGCAGTAGTAGACTTCGACCTTTCCAGAATAAGCATAGAACTGGACATTACTAAGCAAGTAATCTGATTTTGGTCTTGCCTTATGCATGACTACTTTTGACTTCCTAACTTTCAGTAGCCTGGCTCACATTTTTAGACTATTAATTATTTTCTTAGAAGATTCTATATGTTCCTGGCTCTCAGATTAGCTCTATCCACTATCAGTACCTGAAATTAACAGGAGTATCTAAACTCTATGGTGCCTCATTGTGTACAATGCCTTGAATGGATCCAGTACGTATTTCACCATTATCTTAACTGCAATTATTATCAATGTGAATGTCATTATAACATATAGGGGTCTACACCATCCTTGCCTTGAGCCAAGACTCAGAAACCATGCCTCCTTTTCAAGTCCAAATGACCCCCTAGCTAAGCCTTCTGCATTTGCAAACCAGGCTGCCACTTGTTTACCATCTTGAATAAACAGATGCTTTAACTTCTGAAAAATTTCCAATAGACTGTATGTCCTTGTGCCTTTGGGATAATGTTTTTCAACTATTCTTGGCTCTTTCTTGCTTCTACCTCCTTTTACCTCCTTGCTTTTTTTCTTTAAGCATTAATCACTACCTGACATTATTTTATGTATTTATTTGCTTATTATCTGTCTCCTTGAATAGACTGTAAGTTTCATGAGTTCAAAGTCCTTGCCCTTTTTGTACCCCTCTGATACCTAGTACTGAGAATAGTGACATAATAGGTACTTACGAAATATATGCTGAATGGATGAATGAATGATTTTTGTAACCTTAGACAAGTTACTTCTCTTTTTGAAGCTTCCCTCCTGTTGTGTGCAAAATGAGGATGTTAGACTAAATTAGATGATTTCTAAGAACAACTTACATTTTATGGTTGGAGTTCAGAATACAGGTAGCTAAGGCCAGTCAGGACAGTAATGGGGAGCAGCAGACAGTTGCAGAGAGCAAGTGATCTGGGTGCTATCCTGCACTGGGGGAGGGTCAGGGAAAGGATCTCTAAGGAAAAGGGAGTACACCATGTGCACATCCAGGAAAAGAGAAGTTTTTCAGGCAGAGGGAACTGCAAATGCCAATGGGCTAAGACAGAAGTGTGTTTGGTGTGCTCAAGACAAGGCAAAGAGGAAGGCGTAGCTCAAGTACAGTGAAAAGGGGAGAGAGAGTTGGAAATAAGGTCAGGAAGGCAGCCAGTGGCCAGATCATGTGGGATGTATGTGTATGTGTGCTGGGTATGAAAGGGAATGTATGTGTGGTATGGTATGTGTAGTGCATGTGTGGCAAAGTCTTGTGCTTGTGTGGTGTATGTGCATATAGTATGTATATGTGTGCTGTATGGTATTTTGTGTACATGGGTTTGATGTGAGAGATATGTGTGCATATGCTATGGTGTGTGTGCTATGATGTGGCATGTGTATAGCGTATTTTTCTGTGCTTGGTGGAGAGTAGAGTGTATATATGCAGTATGGTATGTGTGTATGTATCTGTGTGGTGTGGTAGGTGTATAGTATATAGTGTGTACATGTGTGTTTCGTGTGAGTAGGGTATAAAATATTAGATGATGTGTGTGTGTGGTATATATTGAAGTTACTACTCATGTTACAACAAAAGCTGATTAAAACTCATCCTGCCAGGGTGATTGAAAACTCCAGCTTGAAAATAAAATAAGCATTCTATTTTTTGGTGCTTCCTTCTGAACAAGCTTCTCCAGGATTAAAAGACTACCTTGCATATGTTACTGCACATTAATGAGGAATTTTGCTTATCAAATAATCTAGATTTTTAATAATGGGTTGATGCTTTCTGAAAAAGAACATTGTTTTGCTTTTGCTACATCATCCTGATCACTGAAATCTAATCTTTTTCAACTTTGTAAATATATAATGCAGCAAAGCACAGATTCTAAAATAAATCCATAATTTAAATAAGTACAGAGTTTTAAGATTCATTTGTTTATAGTTTTGATGTAAAATGTGGGTTTGAAAACCCAGGGATTCTTGACCTATATTATCTAGATTTTTATGCCCCTGGCATCTTGAGCTGCCAAGAAATACATATATCAAAGTGTCAGGGACAGCAAAATATGTTGTCACTTTTAACTCTGTTTTATTAATTAATGTTTGTACCTAAAACCTCTCTCCTCATTCGATCAACGGAATGAGATGATATACTGTCTCCATTTTGACCCACATAGAAAACACAACCAAGATTGAAATACTAATGATTTGCTTCACTATTGAGAATTCAGTTATCTCAGAAGACAGTGAAAATGCTTCATGTCTTGACAAAAGATATGACAGAATTTTCCTTTAATCATAATTGTAGTGGCTGCATGCAAAAAAAGAAAATATATCCAAAATACAATGAATAAGCAGGGAAAGAGTGCAAAGGAAGTGAATCTCCCTTCTCTATTTAATATAGTTGACTAATTTGTCCCCATGTGTACCAAGATATGTTTACCTGCTGAATACCCTGAGCAAAACAAAACAAAACCTTCTTAGGTAAGATGAGTGTATTCACTGAAGTGGCCTTCAACTAGGGATCATTTCTAAAACATTCTTGGTACTTTCAGCTGACAGACTACATGCCTCTAAGCTGTTTCATACTTAAGAGACTGAATTCACTGGAGGTACTTAAAAGGATGAGACTGTATAATGGTTGATCATTTCAGCTGTGCAAGCAGCAGACCATGATTTGAGTCCTGGCTTTGCTCTTTACTAGGTATAGAGCCTTGAGAAGTCCGCTTAATTTGCTCCTCACTAAGTGTCTGTTTAAGATATAACAAGGAGGAAAAAGTGATGGAATAGGAGGTCCCTTGATCATATTTCCCCACAGCAACAAGAACTTGGTAGCCATCCATGGACAAAAGTGCCTTTGTGGGAGCTGTGGACCCCAGGTTGCAAAACCCAAGCACAGCCTAAGACCAAAGATGGCTCCTTTGAAAGGGCAGACTCACAGCTAGGTGGTAGGCTCACCAACTGTGGTCCTGTGACAGTATCAGAAACATTCTGTTCCTCTGTGGACTCAGCTACAGCCCCATTTGGCTTTGATCCTGCCACCAGAGCCATCTATCAAGGGACCTGGGAGGACTCACACCCACCTGTGCTTCAGGCAACAGGCCTGCTGACCACAATCCTGGCTGTGGATCCTGAAGCAGCTTGGGACCCAGCTCCAAGCTCTCTTGGCCATGGTCTGAGAGAAGTCCTGCTCACACAGGAACCTGCTGGGAAACATGCCCATCCATGCCTTGAGAGGCCCATCTGCTTACCTACATTCCACAGCATACCTTCAAAGAGCCCTGTAACTTGACTCCAGGCCCTCTAAGCTGCAACCTGGCTGCAGTCCTCCCATCCCAGGGATGTACCAGAAGACATGCCCCTTTATGTCACTAGAGGCAGACTCACTGGCCTAAGTTCAGCTGCAGATCTTGAAGCAGCCCTGTGACCCAGCTTCAGCACCACCCAGCTGCAGTCCCAGGGCAGTCCTTCCCACCAAAGGACCCAGGAGGAGGCACCTTCATCCATGACCCAGGAGGCAGTCCTTGAGCTTGTGTGTGGACCCTGAAGCAGTCCTGTGACTCAGTTTTAGTCCCTCTCTTCTGCCCAGTGAACCAGTGGGAACCCTTGCAGAGACCCTCAGGGAACTACACCCATCCATGCATCTGGCAACAGGCCTGCCAGCTGTAGACCAAGCTTCGAACCCTGAAGTGGACCCTTGTCCCAGAACCAGGCCTACTGACCAAAAACTTAGAGACAGTTGATTTCACTCAAGGACCAGAGAGGATCCGTGCTCACTTGAGCCTCTGGTAACAGGCCCACCAACTGCAGACCTCACACTGGACCCAGCAGCAGTCACATTGCCCAACTCCAACCCCACTCAACTGCAATCCTGGTGGCAATTCCATCAGCCCATGGACCTAACAAGAGGTCTTTACCTGCTGAAATCAATCTATAAATACTGGAAAAGGTGTTTGCTCCTTCAAATGCACAGACACCAATGCAAAGCTACACAAATCATGAAGAATCAGGCAAACATGACACCAAAGGAAACTAATAAAGCTCCAGTAACCAACCCCCAAGAATTGGATATCTATGAATTGCCTGACAAATTATTCAAAATTATTATCTTAAAAAAGCTCAATGAGATGCAAGAGAACACAAACAAATGCAATCATGGAAACAATCCATAAACAAAATGAGAAGTGTAATAAAGAAATAAAAAACATAGAAAAGAACCAAACAAAATCTTAGAGCTGAGGAATATAATGACAGAATGAAAAAAAATCAGTAGAGAGCTTCAACAACAGACTTGATCGCGCAGAAGAAAAAAATCAGCAAATCAAAAACAGATTATTTGAAATTAGCCAATTAGAGGAACCAAAACAAAAGAAGAAATTAAAAGAATTAAGAAAGCATAATAAAGAAGCCATGCGATACTATCAAGCAAATGAATTTACAAATTATGGTAACAGAAGAAGAGAGAAAGAGGCAAAAAACTAATTTTAAGAAATTCATACACAAATCAATACATGTGATACATGATGTTAACAAAAATAAAAATAAAAACTGTATGATCATTTCAATAGAAGCAGAAATGCATTGACAAAATTCAACATCCTTTATGATGAAACTCTCAACTTATTAGGTATAGAAACAATTTACCTCAACATAATAGAGGTCATATATGATAAGCCCACAGCTAACATCATACCCAGCTGTGAAACACTGAAAGCTTTACCTCTAAGATCAGGAACAAGGCAAGGATGGACACCCATCCTTGCCAATTCTATTCAGTATAGTATTGGAAGTCCTAGCCAGAGCAGTTAGGCAAGAAAAAGAAATAAAATGCATCTAAATTGGAATGATAAAAGGTAAGTTGTTTCTGTTTACAGATGACATGATCTTGTACGTAGCCAGTCCTAAAGACTTGACCAACAAACTATTACAACTAATAAATGAATTTAGTAAAGTTACAAGAAACAAAATTAACATACAAAACTCAGCTGTGTTACTATACATGAATGACAAGCTTACATGAATAAAAAACTATTCATAAAAGAAACTTAGAAAACAATTCCATTTATAATAGCATCAAAAATTAAAATATTTAGGAATAAATTTAACCAAGGAGATGAAAGATCTGTACACAGAAAACTATAAGACATTGATGAAAGAAATAAGGAAGACACAAGTAAATGGAAAGATATCCCATGGTCATGGAATCAGAAAAATCATATTGCCAAAATTTCCATTTTATTTGAAGCAAGCTACAAGCTCAGTGTAATCCCTATCAAAATTCCCATGGCATTTTTCACTGAAAAAGAAAAACCGTAAAATTTACTTGTAAACACAAAAGACCCTGAATAGTTAAAACAATCTTGAACAGGAAGAACAAAGCTAGACTTCAAATTATGTTACAAAGCTATAGTAATCAAAATAGTATGGTACTGGTGTAAAAATAGACACATAGATAAACAAAACAGAATAGAGAGCCCAGAAATAAACTTTACTAGGCATTGCTCTAGTGGAAACTCTCTGTGGCAGCTCTGACCCTACATTTCCATTTAGCATTGCCCTAGTTGGGGCTCTCTGTAGTTACTCCACCCCTGCAAAAAATTTTTATCAGGGACCCCAGGCTGTTTATGACATCCTTTGAAATCTAGGTGAAAGAAACCATGCCCCCACAGCTCTTGCATTTCTCACGCCTAAAGAACTAGCACCACATGAATGCCACCAAGGTTTATGGCTTATACCTTGTAGAGTGGTGGGTTGAGCCACACCTGGTCCCACTGTGCCTTAGCCACAGCTAAGGCAGCCGAGGAGCAATGCACTGAAATGTGGGAAGGAGAAATCTAGGAGGCTCTGGATAGTGAGCCCACAGAGGGTTCTCAGGATCATCCTTTGAAACTATCCTGCCCTCCTAGAGCTCTGGTCCTGTAACAGGAGGGACAGCCTCAAGGATCTCTAAATGACTTTGAGGTCATTCTCCTATTGTCTTGATGATTCTTTCTGTCCATACTAATCTCCTTAACAGTATCTTGGTCACACACTTGGTTTGCTCTCCTGAATAGGCTTTTTTATTCTTCACATGGCCAGGTTGAAAATTTTCAAAATTTTTCCATTCTGCTTCTCCTTTATAGTCATACATTGCATTTCTAAAAAGGGCATTGTCAGGCAATTTTGTCATCATCTGAATATCACAGAGTGTACTTACACAAACCTACATGGTATGGCCTACTACACAGCTAGGCTATGTGATGGACCCAAGGGAACACAATGGTAACTATTTGTGTATCTAAACATATCTAAATATAAAAGAGGTACAGTGAAAATATGGTATTATCATCCTACAGGACCACCAACAGCAAACTTAATCAACAAACGTTGTGTGTGTTCTGTCTGCTCCACTGAGTGGCCATTCCCCTGTCTCAAAATCCCTTGGGCCTTCCTATTCCCTGAGACATAACAATATTGAAATTAGGTCAATTAATAATTCTACAATGGTCTCTAAGTGAAAGAAAAAGTCACAATTCTCTTACTTCAAAACAAAAGCTAGGAATGATTAAGCTTACTGAGGAACCCATGTCAAAAGCTGAGATAGGCTGCAAGGCCTCTTGTGCCAAATAGTTAACCAGGTTGTAAATGCAAAAGAAAAATTCTTGAAGCAAATTAAAAGTGCTACTTCAGTGAACATACAAACGATAAGAAAGCAAAACAGCCTTATTGCTGATATGGAAAATATTTTAGAGGTCTGGATAGATGATCAAACCAACCACAGCATTCCCTCAAGCCAAAGCCTAATCCAGAACAAGACCCTAAATTTCTTTAATTCTATGAAGACTGAAAAAGGTGAGGAAGCTGCAGAAGAAAAGGTTGAAGCCAGCAGAGAGATTGGTTCATGAGATTTAAGGAAAGAAGCCGTTTCCATTACATAAAAGTGCAAGGTGAAGCAACAAGTGCTGATGTAGAAGCTGCAGGATGTTATTTAGAAGATCTTGCTAAGATAATGGATGAAGGCAGCTACACTAAACAAGATTTTCAGTGTAGACAAAACAGCCGCTATTGGAAGAAAATCCCGTCTAGGACTTGCATAGCTAGAGAGAAGTCAGTGCCTAACTTCAAAGCTTCAAAGGACAGGCTGTCTTTTTAGGTACCGATGCAACTGGTGACTTTAAGTTGAAGCTAATGCTCATTTAGCATTCTGAAAATCCTAGGGCTCTTAGGAATAATGCTAAATTAACTCTGCCTGTGCTGTAGAAATGGAACAAACCCTGGATAACAACATATCTATTTACAACAAGGTTTACTGAATATTTTCAAGTCCACTATTGAGACCTATTACTCAGAAATATAAATTCCTTTTACAATATTACTGCTTATTGACAATTCACCTACTCACTCAAAAGCTCTGATGGAGATGTGCAAGGAGATAAATGTTGTTTCATGCCTGCTAATACAACATTCATTCTGCAGCCCATGGATCAAGGAGTAATTTCAACTTTCAAGTCTTGTCATTTAAGAAATACTTTTCATAAGGCTACAGCTGCTATAGACAGTGATTCCTCTGATTGATCTGGGCAAAGAAAATTGAAAACTTTCTGGAAAAAACTTACCATTCTAGATGGTAGTGAGAACATTCATGATTCATAGGAGGAAGTCAAAATATCAACATTAACAGAGTTTGGAAGAAGTTGATTCCAGTTCTCATGGGTGACTTTAAGGATTCAGGACTTCAGTGGAGGAAGTAACTGCAGATGTAGCGCAAATAGCAATGCAACTAGAAATAGAAGCGGAGACTGAAGATGTGATTGATTGCTGCAATCTCATGATAAAACTTGAACAAATGAGGAGTTGCTTCTTATGGATAACCAAAGAAAGTGGTTTCTTGAGATGGAATCTACTCCTGGTGAAGATGCTGTGAACGTTGTTGAAATGACAACAAAGGATTTAGAATATTTAATAAACTTAGTTGATAAAGCAGTGGCAGGGTTTGAGGGGATTGACTCCAATTTTGAAATAAGTCCTACTGTGGGTAAAATGCTATCAAACAGCATCGCATGCTACAGAAAAAAATCTTTCATGAAAGGAAGAGTTAATTGATGAGTCAAATTTCATTTTTGTCTTATTTTAAGAAATTGCCACAACCACCCCAATCTTCAACAACTACCACCCTGATCAGATTGAGGCAAGACCCTATACCGGCAAAAAGATTACAGCTTGCCAATGGCTCAGATGATTATTAGCATTTTTAGCAATAAAGTATTTTTAATTAAGGTATGTACTTTTTTTTAGATACAATGATATTGCACACTTAATAAAGTATAGTGTAAACATAACTTTTGCATGTGCTGGGAAACCCAAAAATTCATACGATTTACTTTATTGTGATATTTGCTTTATTGCAGTGGTCAGAAACCAAAGCCACAATACTTCTCAGATATGCCTGTATGTGATTGTTGATTAAAACATGACTGTAATTATAAATTCCATCTCTGAGTCATTTCTTTCCTCTTGCATCTTACTGTATGCAGTTTAAAGTAGCCTTATAGCTTCTACAATATTTTGTTTAGAAATTTCTTTAGATATCCTAGTTCATTGCTCTTTTTTTTTTTTTTTTTTTTGAGATGGAGTCTTGCTCTGTTGCCCAGGCAGGAGTGCAGTGGTGCAATCTCGGCTCACTGCAATTTCCACCTCCTGGGCTCAAGCAATTCTCCTGCCTCAGCCTCCTGAGTAGCTGGGACTACAGGCATGTGTCACCATGCCCAGCTTATTTTTGTTTATTTGTTTGTTTGTTTTTTCAGTAGAGACAGGGTTTCACCATATTGGCCAGGCTGGTCTCAAACTTCTGACCTCAAGTGATCCACTTGCCTCGGCCTCCCAAAGTACTGGGATTATAGGTGTGAGCCACTGTGCCTGGCCTCATTGCTCTTAAATGTCACCTTCCATAAAGCCCTCAGCCATAAACACAATTCGGCCCTATTCTTTGCAGTTGTATAACAAGCATGGGCTTTACTTCAGTTTCCAATTCCTTGTTCCTCAATTCCATCTGAGATCTCCTCAGAATGGCTTTTACCATCCATATTTCCACTGATGTCTGTTTACCATCCATATTCTATTTCTACTGATATCTATTTACTCTCCATATTTCTATTGATATCTATTTACCATCCATATTTTATTTCTATTTGTCTATCCATATTCTATTTACCATCCATATTCTATCTGTCTACCATCCATGTTCTATTTCTATTGATATCTATTTACTATTTACTGTCAGTATTTCCACTGATATTTATTTACCCATCCATATTTCTATTGATAATCTGATCACTTAAGTAATCCCTGAGAACATCTAGGCTCTCCCTAGTTCTGGAGTCTTCTAAGCCCTCACCAGAATTGCCCTTAATGCTTTATTCATGCCAAACTAGGCTTTTTCTGGCCTGCCCTTCCAAATTCTTACAGCCTGTACTCATTATCCAGTTCCAAAACCACGTCCATGTTATCCATTATTTGTTATAATAACAGCCCCACTTCTGGATACCAATTTTCTTCATTCCTTTTGTGTTGCTATAACAGAATACCACAGGCCCAGTAATTTATAAATAAAGGAAATTTATTTCTCATAGTTCTGGAGGCTGGAGAGTTTGATGTTAAGGTGCTGGCATGTTGTGAAAGCCTTCATGCTATGCCATCGCATGGTGGAAGGCAGAAGAGCAAATGAGGGCAAGAGCAACAAACAGACGGGACCAAACTCACTTTTATAACAACCCATTTTCACAATAATGAACCACTTCCACAATAATGACATTAACCTATTCATGAGGGAGCCTTCATGGCCTAATAACCTTTTAATGGTCCCATTTCTTAATACCATCCCAATGATAATTAAATTTTATTATGATTTTAGAGGGGACATTAAATCCACAGCAGTTAGTACAATCAAATTATGACACTCAGAAATGAGAATGGGACCAGCTATTCCTAATGCCCATGGTTTCTTGGAAAAGTGTGGATACTAGAAAAAAATTTAGAATTCTGTTAGAAGAGAGTGAGTAGGGGCTAGCTATAGGGCAGGAAACCAAAGGTATCTGCTATAGCAAATTTACAGGCAGAGTAGCACAACATAAGCAGCAATTCACCACAGCCCCTGAAACTCCCAGTCTTAATGGGGGATCCAGGGTTTATTTGTGTTGCTTCACTTTTCTGGAGTTAAATGACTCCTAGGAGAAAAAAACAAAGGCCCAGAGAGCCATGTTTGATGTTCATACAGACTTTATTTTTCAATACTTTGTCCAGTTGTTCACCACAAAGGAAAGCCTTCTACTCTAGGAAGGAAATGCACCCTTAGTTTTACAAATTTATTCATCATTAATTCAGATGTGACTACTCTATCCTCCAGATTTTGGTGCAGCTGACTAGAGTCTCTTAAATTGTTTGAGTATCTCTGTTACCAGAGGGATCACAGCTGTTTTCAACATTTGTCACTCTTAAAAATCTTTTCTGTATTTCATGGGATTTTACAAAATTAGCACCTTCTGTCCCGTTTTTTTCTCCTTCCCCATCCCCATTTCATTTTCCACTGTCCTCATTCCTTTAGGCTTGGTAACATTCTAAGGGAAATGGCACTGCTGAGAATCTTCCCCAGAAAACTCAGTGGAGGATACCATTAGCCTAACAATCCCTTTGGCTATTTCCAGTCTTTTCAATTTACAGAAATAAATCTGTGCTCTCAACGAATGGAAACAGCTTTATAGCTATTATTTCTCAGTTTAGACATCACTCAATTACTTTCATAAATTTGGTATTTTGTATCTAGCTTCCAAATACTCTAACCCAGAGCTGACAATACACTTCACTCACCTTAAGTGCTTTCCCTCCAGAGTTATCCCCGCTTCATTGTGTTTAAACTACAGGAAGAAACATTGACATCCTCACCCCAATTATGGCTCCATTCTCTCTCCCTTCGTCAAATTCCCTGAGAAGCAGCGCAATAGTTGCCTCACACTTTCTGCTACCTGTTATTAGTTCCTTATTCTGCCTCTCCCTGTTAAGTGATTTGAGATAACTGTCTTTTTCAGACTGGCTTACACATTAGTAAATGGCCTACCTATAGGTGCACTTATGTTTCAGGGTAACTTTTTCAGACAGATCCTTTAAAAGTTGACTCTGGAGCCCGTCAACCTGAAGAGTGAAGAGTTAGGAGGAGTATCACAATCATTTTATGGCAAAGATTTATGCTTTAACGTGTGAGCTCTTTGTTTTAATAGCTTTTTCTTTTTCTCTGATCACAAAAATAATACTTATTCATTGTGGAGAATTTAGGAGAAAACATGTTTCATTTATATAAGGACAGGCAGCTGTTAGAAGAGATGCAGAGGAGTATATTGAAGGCAAACATTCTAATGAATAGACTAAATCACATTCTGTACTCACACAGTTACAGTAATATGGATTCAGGGCAGAAATACAGATTGCCAGTCCTTATGCTGGCAGTTTATCAATTGACACTTATTATCAACAGCTAAAACATCTTAAGATATTTCTTTTTTTAACCCATCCCCTCAAGCATTTATAAGATATTTCTTAATGAAATATGAATTAGATTAAGTCAACAAATGTTTGGTATTAATTAGCTTGATTGTAATAATAATTTCACAATATACCTATGTATCAAATCATCATATTGTACATCTTAAATGTGTACTATTTTTATTTGTCAATCATATTTTAACAAAGTTGGAGGGGAAAAGTGTTCAGTAACAAATATATACATATGTATTTAGTTTCTGCTACTAGAACAGTTCCAGGTACTGCTCTAGATCAGGGAGTATGACAGTAAATAAAACAAAGCCCTGGTGGAGCTCATATTCCTGTAACTAAGGCAGCCAAAGAAATAGGCCGGGCGCGGTGGCTCAAGCCTGTAATCCCAGCACTTTGGGAGGTCAAGGCAGGAGGATCATGAGGTCAGGAGTTCGAGACCAACCTGGCCAACATGGTGAAACCCTGTCTCTACTAAAAAAAAATACAAAAATTAGCTGGGCACAGTGGTGCGTGCCTGTAGTCCCAGCTACTAGGGAGGCTGAGGCAGGAGAACTGCTTGAACCCGGGAAGCAGAGGTTGCAGCAAGCCAAGATCGTGCCACTGCACTGCAGTCTGGGCAACAGAGTGAGACTCCATCTCAAAAAAAAAAAAAGAAATAACTATGTAAGATACCTCTTGAACAGAAGCCTGAAGGAAGTGGGGGACTCACCCATGTTGATACATGGGGGAGAGCATTTCAAGCAGAGGGAAGAGCAAGTACAAAGGCACTGAGGTAGGAGCTCATGGGGTGTGTTGAGCAGCGAGGAGCTTATGGAGCAGCAAGGAGGCCAGTGTGAACTGACTGGGGTCCGCAAGAGTCTGGTAAGGAGATGGGGCTAGAGAGGCATAAGAGGGCCAGATCATGTAGGCTTAGGCCATGTGGAAAGGACTTCTAATTTGACTCTGAGTGAGGTAGAAAGTCCTGGAGAATTTTGGCCAGATAGGATAGGACTTAATTTTTTAAATTAATATAAATGGTAACAAGCGAACAATTACAAATGAACAACATGACATAAAGGGAACACAGAGGAAAAGAACTAACATAAGTAACTTTGAAAAATAGTATTTTGACTGTATACTGTATTTTATTCTGAGTTCCCCAGAAAAGCAAAACCAATAGGATATTATTTTATATATATATACTCTATATATAATATATACACACACACACACATACACATATATTTATAAATATACAGTCATAGGCTGCATAACAACATTTTAGTCAATGATGGACTGTATATACAACAGTGATCCCATAAGATTAAATTGTATTTTACTGTACCTTTTCTACATTTAAATATATTTAGATACGAAAGTACTTTACCATTGTATTACACTTGCCTACAGTATTCAGAATAGTAACATGCTGTACAGGTTTGCAGCCTAGGAGCAAAAGGCTATACCATATAGCCTAGGTGTGTGGTAGGCTATAACGTCTAGATTGTGTATGTGCAGTCTACAATGTTCACACTAAGACAAAATCACCTAATGACACATTTCTCAAAGCTTATCCTGTCATCAAGCAATGTGTGACTGTATATATAAAGAGATCTATTATAACGAGTTAGCTCATGTGGTTATGGAGGCCAGGAAGTTCCAAGATTTACCACTGACAAGCTGGAGTCTCAGGAGAGCCAATGGTATAATTCCTGTCTGAGTTTGAAGGCCTGAGAAGCAGGAAAGCTGATGGTGTAAATTCCAGTCTAAATTCGAATCTGAAGGCCAGAGAGGACCAAGGTCCCAGCTAGAGGACCATCACATAGAGAGAAAGAATTCTTTCCTACTTAGTCTTTTATTCTATTCAGGCCTTCACCCAAATGAGATGAGATCCACCCACACTGAAGAGGGTTATCTACTTCACTCAGTCTGGCCACTCAAATGTTAATCCCACCCAGAAACAGTCTTACAGACACACCGGAAGTAAGGCTTAATTGAATATCTGGGCACCCTGTGGCCCAGTCAAGTTGACACATAAAATCAACATCATATACTGCAAAACAAAGACAACTGATATACATAGATAACTGAATAAATTATTTATTCAATTCTTCTTTACAGTAGAATTCCAATTTATAAATGCAGATAGATGATAGAAATAGAAAATCATTCTTTGGTAAACACTATAGTAATAACTGTTATAGGCTAGCAATGTTGATGGATGTTAAAAATTAGTAAACAAAAATGTGATGAGAAATAGGATATTTGCAGAGTCTCAGATTATCTCCCCACAAGATACTTTTTAGTTACAACAGGGAAAAAATCATAAATTCCAGGTGGAGAAACCTGGCCAAGACCACATTAACCAAAGTCAATATTACCATTTGTAATATGAGGTTTATTGACATCACACACCTCCTGAGATATACACTGAGAAGGGCACAATATTGCTTCTGGAGTCTTCTTGCCAAAAATGGGTAACCTCTGTTGAATCACGAGAAAACATCAAACAAACCCAAATTGAAAGACTCTTCATAATATCAAGGTCATAGAGAGTAAAGATAAAGGAATTGATCCAGATAGAGGAGAATTAGGAGACATGAAAATTACACACAATGTGGGATCCTGAATTAAATTTTAGAGCATAAAAAGGATAATTGGAGAAATTTGATTAAGTTCCACAGATTAGGTAATAGTATTGCATCAATGTTATCTTCTAAAATAACATTAGGGCTGGGCACGGTGGCTCAGGCCTATAATCCCAGCACTTTGGGAGTCCGAGGCAGGTGGATCACCTGAGGTCAGGAGTTCAAGACAAGCCTGGCCAACATGGCAAAACCCTGTCTCTACTAAAAATACAAAAAAACATTAGCCGGGTGTGGTGGCGCACACCTATAGTCCCAGCTACTTGGGAGGCTGAGGCAGAAGAATCGCTTGAACCTGGGAGGTGGAGGTTGCAGTAAGCCTAGATTGTGCCACTCCACTCCAGCCTGGGCAACAGAGTGAGACTCCGTATCAAAAAAATAAAATAAAATAACATTAGGCTGACAGTTAGTAAAAGTTATTTAGAAAACGATTATTACATAGAATACTATAAGGAAATGTAATGATTCTAGGAAAAGGAGAAAATGCTTAGAATATAGAAATTCAGGCCGGGCACAGTGGCTCACGCCTGTAATCCCAGCACTTTGGGAGGCTGAGGTGGGCAGATCACGAGGTCAGGAGATCAAGACCATCCTGGCTAACACGGTGAAACCCTGTCTCTACTGAAAATACAAAAAAATTAGCTGGGTGTGGTGGCGGGCGCCTGTAGTCCCAGCTACTTGGGAGGCTGAGGCAGGAGAATGGCATGAACCCAGGAGGTGGAGCTTACAGTGAGCAGAGATTGCACCACTGCACTCCAACTCCAGCCTGGGTGACAGAGCAAGACTCCTTCTCAAAAAAAAAAAAAAAAAAAAAGAGAATATAGAAATTTAGAAATTCAAGTTGTACTGAATTACACAGTTTAAAATCATACAAAATGTTCCAATTGATTTGATATACATATTTAAAATAATTCAAGTTCAATACATCTTAAATCTGGCAACTTTATCTCCCAATTCAAGTCCTTTGAATATAAGGACAAAGAACTGTGAACTGTTAAATATCATCAAAGGAAAGGAAAAGTCATCTGTACAGAAAGAGGAAAAAAATTAGCTCTCCATAACTAAACTTTGAACCTATTAGCTCTCCATAGCTAAACTTTGAACCTTTGCATTGCCTTTAGGGAAAGATTTTTCCAATTACTCTACTTTTAAATAATCAGTTTTATTCTATTCTTTCCTCTGAATTATGAAATAAATAATATGTATGTCTCTGAACAAAGAATAAAAGAACAATTCTGTTTCCCTTGTCCTATTTCCTTCTCCATGAACTGACCTTTTCATTCAAGTTTGTTTCCATGGGAAGACTAAACCTGCTGTGCTCCAGGCTAGAGCTGGACCATGTGGACTTTCTAGATAGTCTACAATCTCTGCCCCTTTCCACCGATATTCTTTCTCTATGTGTTTCAATATGTATTTGTTTAGTGAGGTGGGACCTACTATGCTATATTCCACTATGTCACATGCATTTAACGTATTACATCATTGATGGGAGACAGTTCTCCAGGGTCTCTACACAACTTGCAAGCAAGGCGCTGACTGCCCTTTGTTCCAAACCATTTGACCCAGGAAACGCGTATCTTCTACCAGCATCCATGAAACAGTAGCAGGCTAATTTGTTAGCTTGTAAGGAGAGTGACATGGTAGGTCCTTGGCAGTTTCTGGTAGTCCTTTTAAGTTACCACAAGTATTTATTTCAGGCACAGAATTTCAGGAGCTCATCCCATAAGTGTACTCTATGACTTCCTTATGAGCACTACGAAAACACTCATTTGAATCATGCTTAGCACCTGAGGGAGCTGGGGTTTTGTTTTGTTTTGTTTTGTTTTTAACCATTTCTTCTAGAGGTCAGTGTCTCCTTTCCAGGTAACAGAACCAACTTTATGTTTCAGCCACCACGTAGAGTCCCTTTCAAAAACCTCAAGCGTTTTTGCTTTTAAAAATCTTAGTTGGTATCATAGTCCTAATTTTCGCCAATGACATTTTAACACTTCCATAGATTGATTCCCCAGTCAAGTGCCTCCTAACCTACTTATAATCTGGTTCTGCTACCTAAAAGAGTAAATGTATGTGTGTGGATCTCCTGTTTCCAAGCAGGTGACAACAGCAACTCTGGAGTCCCAACTACTCATAATCCCTTAGAGCTCTAGTTCTGGGGATCATCATGTGAAGTCTCAAGGCAGAAATATGTAGTGTAGGACAGAGGGGTGTGTGTGTGCATGTGTGTGTGTGTGTGTGTGTGTGTGTGTGTGCATCTTCCTACTGCCTCCCCCAACAATAAGACTGTAATTAGCCTGTTTCTGCAAGCCTGTAAAATTATATTCATTACTTTCTTGCCTGGTTCCATTTAGAAACAACTTTGAAAATCTCAAACTAAGTATTTTTTGTTTTGTTTTGTTTTAGCAGGAATCCATGGGGTGGGGAGAAGAAGGGTGAGGAGATGCAGAACGAGGGCACCAGATGGTATGGATCACATAGGAGACTGAGTGGATGGATGATTCTGACATGTCTTCTCTTAGGAACAGATGTGTTGCCAGGTTGCAATAGTTCGGAAAGATGAGATGAGTACTTGCCATGAATCTTATCTTTTCTGTCAGAGATTTATTGCATAGAAATTGTATTTGGCTCCTTCTTTTATTTGTTGGCTTATAACCAAAGTAAAATGTTCCATATACTGAAAGGAGCTACCCTATTTCATCTAATCTAAGATTTTCTCCATTGTAAGACACTCTATTATTTTATGATCAACTAAGAAAGAAAAGTCACTGCCAATTAAATATGACACATTGTATGTTGTGAGAGACATCCCAGTTTTAGAGATGTGAAAACGTGAAGTTACCTTGTGTTGTAGAATTGATGAAATATGATATGTAAATCAAGGGTTCCAAACTTTTTGCCGAAGCCATTTCATGGTGTTTTATGATTTGAATTATCATCTGAGTCTGTGACCCTGAATACATAACAATAGCTATGACCAATTGTTGAACAAATAATATGTTGCTTGCCACATATACATTCATTATTTCCAATCCTTTCAACTACATTGCAAGGAAACAGGTATAAGTACCACTTTACAAGGCAGGAAGTTGAGCTCCTAGAGGTTAGGTAAAGTATGAAGGTGAAGCTGCCAGGAGTGAGAGCTGAGATTGGAACCCAGCTAGGTCTCCCTTCAAAGCTGAGATGCCTTCGGTTACTCTACGGAATTGCTCTTTTTGAAGAAGCTGCCTGATTTGGGAATGTCTTTGAGAATGGTACTGTATCTAAATATTTGTGGATTGTTTTAGAAACAAGTTCCCACCCATCACACAGTTGTCACCCAGCAATAATAGTGAGACTGGCTCCTCTCTTTCAGCTAGAGTTAAAAGTGAAAGGAGGGGAGAAGGGGTGGCTATTCATCTCCCCAGAAATCATGACAGACATAATGGGGCTAATGCTTTGTGAAACTGCAAAGTGCTGCATCATTGTTTATCTTCTGCCAAGTGCTTATTCATAGCAGGGAGAAAGCCCCTTCAGAACTCCTGAAATGTTAGGGCTTCAAGTTCTTAAAGCACATGCATAATTTCTAGTACTTTATTCAAAATATACTTTTTCTTTTTCCTTTTTTCTGTAATTTGAAAACATCTTCACCATAGCCAAGAACAAAATTTTAACTGATGGCAAAAATATAAAGCCTTGAGGTAGTGTTTTATCACTATTTATTATTGTATCCAAAGAAGAGGCCTTGACAATGTTGGCTGCTGCTGGGTTGCCATGGCAGTAATCAGTCAAACAGGAACAGGATTTTGCAAGCCTGCTCAACCCTTTTTCTTACCAAGCACTGCAAAGCTGATAGAAAGATTTTCATTTTGCACGATACTATTGGATGAGGCAAATGTGTCCTTTTCTCACAAGGTTCCAGTCTTGCTCCCTGCTTCTCAAGCCATCACATTCCCTTGCACCCTTGCTCCATCCACACTGAACCACTTGCATTCTTAAGTGTGCCACAGTCTATGCCCTTGGGCTCAGGGCACACAGGGCTGCTTCTGCTTGGAACACCCTTTAGAACCTATTCTAGCCCCAACTCCTACTTCTGTTCTGTTCTGTGACCATACCACCTCCTCCAGGAAGCCTTAAGCATCCTTTCCTCCATTCAGTATGGGTTAGACACACATTCTGAGTGCTCCGATAACACTCTGTATTTACCTCTATCTTAGCACATGTTACCTTGATCATAGTTGTCTGCGACAATTTTGGTAAAGAACATCTGGAGCTGGTCTGCCTGAGTTTGAAGCTCTCCTTCGTTACTTACTAGCTGTGATCTTGGCCAAGTCATTTGACCTCTCTAAGCCTCAGCTTCCCCCTATGTAAAAGGACAAAAATAATATCTACTTCACAGAATTACTGTGAAGATTAAGTGAGATGATCTAAGTAAAATGCCTAATGCTAATGAGTTCTCAATAAATATTATAGTAAAACTTGTCTCCTTCTAGAGTCTAAGCTCCATGAGGACAGAGACCATGTCTTTTATTTTTGCACATTCAGGACCTAACAAACATCAG